>NC_000002.12:4858484-5161515 GCF_000001405.40 Homo sapiens
CTATACAGAGAACTCTAACATACAATAAGGTTATTCTCTCAAATCAATAGGAAAATATGAATTTTTGAGTGTCAACATGATGCTTAAAGAAAATGCTTATTGGAATGTTGCAAATTTTGAGTTTTCAAATTAAGGATGCTCAAACTGTACCAAAATCTGCAGACAGTCAAGTCTATGCTATAAAATGGTGGAGCATTTGCATATAACCCTGCACACCCTCCCATGTAATTTAAATTATCTCTAGATCTCTTATAACAGCTATACAAAAAATGCTATGTAAATAGTTGTTACATTGTATTATTTAAAGTATAATTTTTTCTTGTTCTGTGTATGTTCAGAAAAAATCTGTATATGTTCAGTAGTGCCACAATTGCTTTCAAATATTTTTTATTCAAGGTTGGGGAATCCATGGATGTAGAACTCACAGATGTGGAGAGCCAATTCTACTTATAGATAAATTAAAAATCTAAATGTGTCACATAGGAGACCATCAATTATGTTCTCCAATGTAGGTGGAGATTTATTTAGTCTTGGGGAAGAAGTTTCTCAATGCAGCTCCAAAGCAGAAACTATAAAGGCAAACATTTTTCTTTATACTAATACTTTCACATGTATGCAGAATTATGAATGTCATGTGGTAAAGCACACCTTAAGATATTGAAAGCCAAATGGACTAGAATACAGGTGTACCATATGTGATTAAAAGCTTATAAATATATCTAAAATATATAGAATTTTCCAAAGTATCAAGATAAATGTGATCACACTCACTGAAAAACACCAGAAATATGTTGTGAAGCCAATTTCAGGAGGGGTGGAAGAGTGCAGGTCCTGGTGGAACTCCAAGGGCACCTAAGTTCAGATTCTTTGACACATTTATTCTACATTAGAATTAATAAAACAGAATTTTTTAAATGTTTGAAAATATAGCTAGAAGAATATTAATGGTACAAATAGCAAAACTTTGATCCAATTTCTCAAATGTTGGACAGTGAGAAGTATCAGTTGAGATGCAGTATGGGGCAACCGTAAAATAGAATTATCAAAGTCACCTCTAACAGTGCCTTGTGAACTACCATTTTGCCATCTCTTGGAAATAATTTTATTTGCCATTGGACAGGGTTATATAAAAGTGGAATATTCATCAGATATGGTAGCACACCTCAGGAATACTTTTTCAAAAATCCTAGCATTTGAAGAATTTAACAAAAATAAAATAAACTGATGTTTACAGAGTATACTGCCATTTAAAGCATGTTTTCTCATCTATTATATAATTTGAGCTCCTGCTTCATATAGTGACACTTTACTGTTAACCAGATATTATATCCAAGGAAATAGAGATGAGGACCCAGTTCACACAGATGATAAGTGGCAGAGCAGAGATTAAACTGTGAAGATAAATAATACTATTTATCTTATTAATTAAAACTGAGACCCAAAGAGATACCTCACCTGTCAAAGATCACACAGGCCCTCCAACCTAATCTATATCCCATGCCACTGTTACTATTCCCTGCTTCTTGTCATGTATGTGGCCATATTAGATGATCTGAAAGTTATTGGAGAGCAGGTCAAGACATCAAACTAAATATATCTAATTTAATTCACATGGGTGCAGGGGTTTGAAACAGAGGAAGGAAGTATAAGAGCAAAAAAATGTCTGCAAGGTGTGTAACATCTATCATTGTGATAAAAACAAAATACATTAGAATGTGATGTACTATGTGGTCTAATAGCAGCATGTAAAAAAAGTAGGATCTGTGCAGAGGATGTATGTCATTTACACACCCATACCCTCCACACCCACACTCACACACTCATAGACACATTCCCACACACCCATACCCACACTTGTACAACCACAGTCACATGTTCACTCACATACACTCACACAACCATTTCATGTGCACACATACTCATACACTCACTCAAACATGCCTACACTCACACACGCACTCACACACGTTCACATACAAACATCTCCGTTCGTATTCCACGACGAGAAAGGAATACTTCTGAAAAACGCTTTACAGAGGTGATGAAATATGAATAGGTCTTGTAAGAAAAGGAGTGTTTCTCCCTTTAAAAATAAAGATGGTCACTCTCAGAGGGAATGTGTTTCAACAAAAGGGCTGAATGTGACAGCAACTCACATTCACCATCCTTGTGTGAAATTCCAATAACAAGAAGTGAAGGTCTATGGAAGGCCGATGGTCACAGGATCTTAAAGCGACAAAAGTGCTGAGACATCCTCATCTCTCTCTGCAACTCCTCACCTTCTCCTTGCCCCACTTTCTCTCACAACTTCCCACTGTGTTGAGCAATTGTATCATTGTCTCTTACCTTTTTTACTCACTGAAATGTCCATTCCACCAGGGCCTTGGTCTTGCCATTTTGTTCATTAGCAAATCCCTAGTTTGTAAGACAATGCCTGGCATGGAGGAAGTGCTCCATAAATGCATTAGAAAATTAAGAATAAAGGAAAGAATAAACGTTTGCTTTGGGCCCAAATTCTGGCTGGGTGTCATTAAATAGCGGCATGACCTTAGACAGGTAAATCCATCTGAATTTTGGCTTTCTTACTTTAAAAATTGGAATATTAATAATCGTTGAAACACTAAGGTTGATGAAGGAGTAAATCATGGATGCAAACCATTAGCAAAATGAGTACCTAGTAGTTGTTAATGCAAGCATGATGGTGGTGCTGGTGATGCTGATGACGCTGATGAGATTAGTAGGACTAATAGGATTTTTGGTTCCGGTGGTAATGGTCATACTGGTGGTGCTATCTTTCTCTCCGGGGATTAAATCAACTTCTTGGTTGGTGACAGTGCATCACCTCGTGTCCCACTGGAGCACACCAGTGACCAATACCAGATACACAGGGACCAGAGCTACTCATTTTCAAACAGTCACTCCCACTCAAAGAGCTTAAACATCTTAACTTGAAATTAATGATGTTACTCATTCATACAAACATCTGTCGTGAAAAATCCTGCCTGAGATGCTATGTCCACATCTAAGTGTATGCATGTTCCTCCAAGATCCTGAAAGTAACGTATTTCTAAATTATCGTATTAAATGGTGGTGGGGTTATGACAGTCTCTTTATCATTTGCATTTGATTACAGTGCGTAATGATTAGAAATCTTTGTTTTGTGACATATTTCGAGTAATAACTACAGTCATTGCCATTGATCTCTACATCCCAAAGTGGGAACCCATCAAGTCATGCAAGAACCTTTGCTCCTACTCAAATCGAATTTGAGATAAGCTACGAAATGGATTCTCTCTCAAAACCCTGAAATAAAAATTTTAAGCAAAAATAAAATGAGCTTGTTCTAATAACAGGCTCACCAAAAATGAACAATTCACATTCTAAAATTCATCTAGCAGAAGACGCTTGACCCAAGTGAGTGGCAGTCCTTCCCACCAAGGACTTACTTCGTGAAAGGAGCAAACAGGCCCCACTCTCTGCCAACCCATGGGTAGATCTCTGCAAGGTATTGTATTGCCCATCTCCAAAATCATTATTATCTCATTACCTCTCATAAGCTCACCTTGTGTTATTTCCAGTAGGACATCTTAAGCTTCTGCATTGCTTAACCTGCCTTCCAGCAGAGAGGTAGTCATGTGATGAGACCCATCTGAGTGCACCAGAGCAAAAAAGATAATGAATAGCTTAATTGTCCTGGGGCCACTGAGAACTTTGTAATTTAGGAAACACGGCCAGGAGATTGCTCATAACATCCTGGCAAGTTGACTCATTTGGAAAAAGGTAGAGTCTGAGTGTGCACATTCTGTTCCTCCTCTTTACATCACTTTAGGGTTCACCTGAGAGGACGTTCAATCAAAGAGCTGATTGTATGTGCAAAGAATGTGTTGTATTCTCAGGTGGCACAGAAGACTTCTTGTGCATATACCGCATTATAAAGACAGAGGCCTCCACCATTGTTTTGACAGCAAAGCCCCTATGTATTTAAGGGCAGATCTCTTCTTTGTCTAGCATCTCGAGCTCTCAGCCTGTGTGAAGCACAGTGTCACTTTGAGTATATTCTCTGTCCCTTCTCCCTGTAAGGTATTTCCTTCCTTTCTTCATCTTCACTCATTGCACCTCTCCCTGGGAGTAAGAGGCAAAATCGCACGCCAGCGTGGAAATGACATTCCGCTGCTGTGGCTGCAAGATGGCTCTCAACAAAATGTCCCTGGAGTCTGGCTGGCCGCCTCCTAATTGGCCACCATGGCTCAATTTCCACTCATGTTCTGCGCCAAAATTAGAAGGATTTAATGCAGACGAAGCTCCTCCAATCCCACTTCCTGACACCCCATCATTCTAAGAGACACACACAGTCGCAGATAAGCAGCCTCTTTTCCAGCAGTTACTCAAAGGTCAGAAAACTCTATGAGAATCAGAGAAAAGAAAATGTCAACCTGGGAATTACTGGATGTGTGCATGTGCAGAAGGCCAAATCTTTTAAAAGATAAATATCATAGACAGAGAGTGCGCTGAGGGACCTTAGGGTTTTCACAGTTTACCGTGAGATTTATAACATCCAAGCTGCTCAAGACAGCACTCCATGTAGCATTCAAAGATCTCCAGGAGCTACTTTTATTTGTTTTTCAGCCCTACACTTGCTTCTTTTCATTCCTTTTTCCCCACATTTCTGGGGATTGGAACTTAACTTGACCCAGGTTAGATTAAATGTTCACTCCCACATCACATAACTGTAGCCAGGAAGTTAGGGTTATTTTCTTAAAAAAATTAACAGCTGCCTGAAATGCTTAGTTAAAGAAGAAGACTGGTAGATGGTTTGTTTTTTATTATCTATGACTAGAATAAAACAAACGAAAAAGTACATCAAGGATTCTACTACTACCACCCTCATCAGTAACAAGAAGAAGATAGTTCAGACTTTGGAGTCACATTGAACACCAGATGTGACTTAATGCCACTATTTCTAATCCATGTGGCCTTGAGTGTGGTCACTTAGAAATCCCTTAACTTCTCAAAGCCAAACTTGCCTCACTTTTAAAATGGGCATGAGAGCAATGTCTGGGACCTGGGAGAGTTGAGGATGCACGCAGCACACTAGGCCCAGTGCCCATCCCCTCTTCAGCTCTGGACTCCACTAAGAGAAATCAGACATGGTGAAATGTGGTCCTGAGGATGACAGCTGCGATTCACTTCCAAGCTTCAGACCCTGCAGTGTCACCAAGACAACTGCATTGTTTCAGATGCTGCTTCTTAGGGGGCCCGAATTGGCCCAGAGCATGAACTAGATTCCCTTAGTACTAAATAGTCCTGCGAGCACCATGGGGACTTTCTGTAAAAAGCAGTATTATTGTCAGTCCTTAGGGTCTACAAAATGCTCAGTTATAATTTTACAGTATTATGGATAGAAGTGTTTTAGGTTTTGAAGACTAACCAGGAGATAACACATAAAGTAGGATCTTAGTGTAAAGCTTCTTAAAATGTATTTCCATGTGATAAAAGACCAGATAAATGTGTTGATTCACTTTGTCCTGAAAAGAAAAACATCAGTAAAAATTAATTCTTGTTACTCCTGTGTTCAAGTTAATAAAAACATTGCAGTACTTTGAAGCACGTGAGAACGTACTGGTTTTAAAACAATGATGACCTCTACAAAATAGCCTACATTGCCAAGGTGTTGGTTAGAGGCAGTGTAGAGTGAACTAGATCCGTCTATATAGTTATGAAAAGCTTTGGTGACGTTTCATGAGTTGCATTTTTTACAGATTTATCCAACATTTTAGTTGTATTTTTGTTTCTATTCTTAGGTAAACCAGACAACGATGTTATATTTATCTTCAGGTTTAGAGGAATTGTGATCATTTTGGCCTTTTACATTCAAAAGGAAATCGTTGTGGTAGGTGGAAATTGTTTGTCACATCTAACTTTCTAGAATGGCGACATTTTAAAGGTTAGATAATTTTTTGGGAAGAAAAAATAGTACCACATTGCCCTTAAGATGTTACTTTTGCTGGTAAGTAGTGATATTCCTGGGGCAAATGTCATCTCTGTACCACAGGGCACCACCGGGCACGGACGTGCAGCCCTCCCCCACACCGCTCCGCAGTGAGCTCACTACAACCTTCTTAATTGCTCTGAAGCTAGGTGGGCTTCCAAACGCATTCTTAATGATCAGTGGACCGTGAGCTCAGAATCTTTGTTTCATGCCCCCCATCAACAATTGATCTGTAATTTCCATATGATGGAGACAAAAATGTCTCTTTAGTAAGGAAGTTGCTTTACTTCCTAGAGAGACATATATGAAACATACAAATCAAGTGAGGGAAAATTTAATTTTCACGGCTATAGGTATAGGAAAGAGCCAATTGTCCCTATTTAAAACACATAATTTGTATTTTCTCCCAATATATTAAGAAAAATGTAGAACTATATTTGCCTTCTGATTCCAGTTCCCCTCTCCTGGGTGCAGTCATATACCTTTGCAAAAGTTCATATGCCTTCTTTCTAACCAAATCCCAATTGCTGGAGAAGTTTATAAAAACTTCCTTTTATGGGAAATAAATACCATTAATGTCAGGATTATATTCTATTGTTTTGATGCAAGATATTCAAACAGAAACGTGTGAGAATTTCCCCAGAAACAGGTGCAGGAGTATCTCAGAGGAGAACATGATACAAATCTCCAATCTGCCGCAAAAGCCCTTTTGCCTAAAAATCATTTTTGTGGGATCTGTGTCCATAAAAATTAGAAGAAACTTGCCCTTTGCTGTCCAAAGTAAGGTTAGGAAGACTGCGATTGGGTATCAGCATAGTCCACAGCCATTGCTCTGATGGAATAATAAGAGGGGAGGACCATCCTTTCCCATCCTACACTGGATAGGTCTAAGGTGAAGCTGCCCACGTTCAACTGACTGGCAGGTGCTGTGTGATAGAAGTTTCCTGGAACCCACAGACCCCAGGCCTTTTGGAAAGTATGCGCATCCCATCTTCCGGCTAAGCTCAAAAGCTGCGTGGGTAACAGGTTTTTTTTTTTAATTACTTGGCATTACATTTAATACGGAAAAAGAAATGGTAAAACAACTTGTCTTTGTCTTAATGTGCTGTAATTTACCTCTCTCACTAAGTATTTTTAAATCAAATGATAATATTGCCCATAAAGTTAAGATTCACTGATTTCTTTCAGGCCAAGCATGTAACCTTCCTTGAGCCAAATTTCCTTAAACTACAAAAACACAACATTTGAATGACAGTCTTTCTTTATGTTGCAGACTGTCAAATGCTCTATAGAGTTGAAAGGTTAGATATAAGTATTAATAGTTTTATTGAGAATTCCCTTTTGATGCACACTTCTGCAAAACAAAAAAAAGGAATCCAAAAATACACTATAAGCAATAAATGAATAAATGGGAAGCAGACACACACACACTGTCAATTTTTCAGTCTCTCACCAATATATTACTGTCCATTTTTTCAGTGTATAGAATGACTACCCACAGAGTTACTTATCTGTACAATACCTGGCTTTTGTTTTATTGTAGAAATGGACAGGGAAAGCAGGAACAAGCTTCCCTTGTCCACTTTCTTATATACTTAGGACACATAGTGGTTTTATAAAAGTGCCCGTGGAGGCATTAAACAAGCTTTTGTTAAATTCCCTTGAAAAACAGGATTTTCTGGCAATTTGTTCCCTATTTGTTCAGAGATAGACTTAATGCACCTAACTTATACTGAGAATGGGTCTGAGGTTTTGCAATGTATTTATTTATTTTATTTTTAACTGCCTCTGCCCCCAAGGATCTCATTAAAGTGAGAAATGGACATAGTGCAGTCATGGATTGGTTGTGTGGCTCTTCCGTATTCTTGATAATACCTAAATTCTTCCACTTGTTCCTATAAACCAAGGTGGATCCGACAGGTATTGTGCAATCATAAAACCAGAAAGGATTCCTTGCAGCAAGGGTCACTGAGAAGGCTGAATGCTCATATATATTTCCTTCTTTTTACCTTGGAGCCTGAGGTTCAGGATAAGACAGAGGCTCCGCACAATACTAAAGAGCATGCAGTTAGACGAAGAATAATTTGAGATTTTCATGTAACAAATAGTGATGCACCTTGATAAAAAATATATATATACACATACACATATTTTTACATATATACATTTAATATATATAATATACAATATATAATATTATAATTATATATTATATAGTATATTTATATAATTATAATATACAAAAATATATAATATATAATATATGTAATATATAAACATACATTATATTATATTATATATTATATATTATATGTAATATATAAATATAGTTTATATAATGTATATTATATATAATATATACACATTATATAATATATAGTATATATTATGTATATATTATATATAATATATACATTATATACAATTATATTATATATAATTATATATAATATAATTATATACAATATATATATTTTAAATTACTTGGCATTACATTTAATATGGAAAAAGAAATGGTAAAACAACTTGTCTTTGTCTTAATGTGCTGTATGGATTATATATTATGTATATTAAATGTATGTATGTAAAAAATTTAAATTATATTAAACATATATATATATACATACATACATACATTTAAAATTGGTAAACTCTACAGTTCAGACATAAAAGTAAGCTAAGTTACAGATTGTGATATTTTAGACTTGTAGAATCTGGAGCAGTCACTAGTGGCCTGCTGTCTTACTATTCAGAAGAATCAGTAAGGCCCTGGGTGAAGAAATGGTAATATATTAATCATGATAGTTTTAGTCCAAGTCAAACCTTATCTCTTCCAATGAAGGGTGATGAGAGGTCAGGTTGAGGGAGAGGGTGTAGGGCGGCAAGGGAAGGGGTCTGTCATATGCAATTGTTTCACCAGGACAGAGATTACCTCTCTGGGTGAAGAATTACCTGGCGATGAGAAGAAAGGTGGCTGGGGAAACGCTCTGCTTGTGTTGAAAGTGAGTTCTACTTAATGCTATATGACTTTGTTCCCACTGGCATTTCCTTTGCCCTCATCTCCAAAAGTGTAAATATAGAATAAAATTTAGAATTAAATATCAGAAATTTATTCAGAACGTTAGTAGTCAAGAGCTTCATTTAACTGGATTTAATAATTGTATTACATGTGGATAATGTGGCCTCAGTATTCATTTTAACTTCTCTCTTGAGGATTAAGGAGCTCCTCTGTGACTGGTGGGGGGTTCCAGGTGGTTCTCCCACATCTCATGCTGCATGGAGAACCTGTATTGTCCAGGGGGTCATGGACAGGAGTGAAATAAAGGGATTGACAGTGTAGCCCAGCATCACATGGCTGTGAGCATTTCACAAATTGCATTGGATTTGATGACAAAAATTTCATTTGGGAAAATCTCCTTCCTGGATAAGCTGATCTGGATGAGTTCCCACACAGCAGCAGGTCATGGTGGACTTACCTTGAGAATTACAACTACCAGCGAGTCATTTTACAGAAAGAGTTAGTAAATTCATTTTTGTTTAAAACAGCTGGGACCTCATACAGCTTGACTGATTGGATCGTTCTAAGATACAATTCTATTCAGATGTAGGTACTGTTTTGGAAGGAGGGCACTCTTTGAGTTCGGCACTATTTATACCTTACCATTCTAGCCAACTCTTAATGGATGGCCAGATGGTTTATTAGTATTAGGTTTTAAAATGGAAACAGCATACTACTATTTCCTCCACTCCAAGGAGCTAATCTAGTCCAGAAAAGTAGACTGAGATATTGATCCTCTTCTATTCTTAGAGAAGAAAGAGGGTAAAGTAGAGAAAACCCTGATAATTCAGAGGAGACATCAGAAACCTGGGCTTCATCCTTGACTGTGTTACAAACTAGTGTGTGACTTTGAACAAGTTTCCGAATGTTAATTCCCTCATCACTAGGGGATCATAGACTTGATTTTCTGTTCCAGGATACCATTAAGGTGAGTGGGGCTACTGTTAAGTATAATAATAATGGCAAGACAGTAAGCATAAACCAGAATGGCTCTGGGCAAGCCAGACTTATGAGCACCCTGTGTGTCCATAAACTGCCATTAGTTCATGTGGAAACTTTGTCCCTTGCACTCAGGAGAACAAATTTCTCTTTTACATATTGTGATTCCAAGTATGATTTCATTTGGAACAAAACTTTCCCCAGGGAGAAGGATAAATCTGAAAATCACAAATCCAGTGATCTAGAGAAAAATGGCCTTTGTTTCTAGAAGCACTGTGGCTGTCTCTTCAACTCCATAGCATGTAGAAAGGGCAGAAGCCAAAGTTCGAAATGTGGGCACCTACTTGGTGGTACCTGAATACTGTGCATAACTACTGGTATCCTGGCATCCTAGCATAGTGCAGTGAGAACTACTGTGAGGTGGGAAACCCAGTGTGCATGCATCCATCACTCACCAGCAGTGGGGAAATGCAGTTGGCAACAGAAAAGAGTTTGTCCTTTCTCGGTCTCCATGGGGAGAAAGAGAGAGAGAAAAAGAGAACGGGAGGAAGAAAGACAGAAAGGAAGAGAAAAGAGAGATCACTCATAGCTGTAGGATTGAATTCAGTTCAGGAAATCTTTTACTCACTTGGTTTAGAAATGGTCTGCTTGGAAAGAGAAAGCCTCAGCTTATTTCCACCAGTCTTATTTTTTTCCCTCTCTTCTTTGCTTGCTTTTTCGTTTTTGTTCCCACGTGCTTCTCCTATGTGTATACCTGGGGCATAGAGCAATGCAAAATTCCAGAAATATAAGCCCCTTCAGGCCAGGAAACTTTTCCGACGTGTTCAACACGAGTACTTAGAACACCATTTGGCACATAATAGGTTGTCAAAAAAATAGTTGCTGAGTCAGTAAAGGATCAGCTCAACTGAAAAACCCAATAGACAAGACGTCTGGCTGCCTGGAAAGGATGAAGGCTGGGGTATGAGCAGACACGGGTGCAAGTGCATTTGCCATCTGTGGTCCCTGCTCCTGCCACCCCAGCTCAGCTTCTCAGAGGGTGCTTCTGCCACACACTCACTCTCTTCCCACTTTAACCTACCGTTTTCCTCTTACATCTAGATTGTTTTACCAACTTGCTATGCAGGAACCTCAAAAACCAAATTAGGTTTATCTTCGTTTCTTTTAAAATGGAAAGAGCTTTGGAATAAGCTACAAGAAGACTGTCATATGAGTGTTTTTAAGGGGCAGGATTTAGCAGTACATGAGTCCTTGTACTGGAGCTCCGTGGAAATTTTGAATGCATGGTTGCTGCTTGAGATTTTCTACAAGCTTCCTTAGAACTCTGAAGAATGTTAACTTGGTACCACATGTTCTCATTTATAAGTGGAAGCTAAATGATGAGAACACATGGGTAGACAGGAGAACAACAGAGACTGGGGCCTACTTGAGGATGGAGCGTGGGTGGAGGGAGAAGATCAGAAAAAATAACTATTGGGTACTAGGCTTGGTATCTGGTTGAGGAAATTATCCATACAACAAACCCACATGACACAATTTTACCTGTATAGCAAACCTTCATATGTACCCCTGAACTTAAAATAAAAGTTAATTTAAAATAATAGAATTTTAATTTAGGTCAGCCATTATGTCAATGATAGCCAGTGGCAATAGCAACAATAGTTCACATTTGTTTTAGTTCTTACTGTATGCCAGGTATTATGGAAGGCACTTTAGACGATGTAGCTCATTGAATTTTCTCAGTCATCCTATGAGTTAGGCATGCTATCACCACATGCTCAGGATAAGGAAGCTGAGACAAGCTTGCATTTTCACGGGAAAGATCTCGGTGGAATGAGACAAAGCACTATAACCTGTAGAGGACCGTTGTGTGATTTAGTAGACAAAGGAAGGAATTGTGTGATAAGAACTGAAGATGAGTGGCCTCTGTTTGTACCAGTCCTCTTTGTCCTTCTGTGTCAAGGTAAATTATGCCTTTTGGAATTAATTCGTTGAGTCTCTTACCTTGCACTTACTTGTTTTGCTTAAATCATAGAATCATAGCTCAGAATAAGGTCCATTAATGTCAGCTTGTCTACATTCCCAAAGCAGGTAATACTAAATCAAAATTACATGAGAATATGTTCTAAAACAACTGTGTGCTTTGCATGTTCTAGACGGAATGCTTGGCAGAAATACCAGGATAATTTAATGCCCCAAACAATTCCTCAAGTACTTTGTATGTTATGTGATTCACTCTAAATTTGAAGAACAAATAAAGAGACAAACTGATAGAGATTTTTTTTTTTTTCACAGTAAACCAGAAAGTCGATAAGAGAGCAATGGATCTCACCAAGATATATTATTGAAAATGTCAAGTAAAATCCTTTGTTTTCTAGTTAACGCCAATATAGAACTTTTAAAAAATGCAATCTTAGTTCACAGTATTTTAAAATAACATAGAGATACATCTTAAATCTATGTGAATTTAATTCTGTGAATCTTATACAAAATTACAATGACTCTTCTTTTTTTCTATTTCCTCATTAGCAGATGCTTTATTCATTTGGTCTTAATATCAAGGTTAAACCGAACTTGACTATCACTTCAGCCTCTACGTGCCCAAGGTTAAATGTAACATATGCTCTATTCTTGAGCCCTATTTATACTTTTAACCATTTGTCTCATGTATTATAACTCCCAAATACACCATGAAAGGAAGAAATTGGAAACTTAACAATTTTTGAAAGCATCAGAATCCAATTAGATACTCATCTGATTCATATGCTAAATCTGCAGGGAAAACACAATGTAAAAATGAGCTATAATTGTTTTGGGAAATGTTCCAGAGACACCAGCATCATTTGCAATAAATTATTGTGGCCTTCTTTTTCTTGTGTTTCTTTAGCTATTGTAATTACAATATTGATTACCTCTGAAGGATTAGTCCATGACTAAGTGAACGTAACTTGCTTTGCCTGGGTAAATCAGCAAACACCACACATTGTTGATTACTAACATTTACTACCAATTAGTAACCAGAGAATAACCAATCACATATCCTAGGCTTTAGATATTTTGGATTTATGAGAACCGCTTCGTGCTAATGTGGAACACTTCTTTCCCAATGCAGGTGGAATATTTTATTGAATTAACAGAGGTCACTATCAACATTTTAGATTTTCTTGTTTGCTAAGAAACAAAACCCGGGAAGACCTACAAATGAAATAGATTTAGCATTCATGCCCCAGCTCTGATCAAGTACCTTAGAGCTTCAAGAATAATTCTATTAACTCACTTAGCGTTACACTTAGCATAACGCCCCAGAGTTTCCTGGAGAAGAACACAGGAAGAAACGTTAGTGATATACCACTGTTGCAATAAAACAGTGGACTAGCCTGAGGATTGAACACTGTGGACCAAGCTGAATTTTGCATTTTCAGGCCTACCGAGAGCTCATAAATGCTCAGCCATGTGTTTCGTTTGCATTTACTCTTCTGCATGATCCTTCATTCTTTTTTTTAGATAAATTCAACTTCAGGTGAATGGAATAGGCTCAGATCAAGCCGGTGCATCTAGTATTTAATACAGATTAAATACTTTCTCTCCTTTAAGGTAGAAAGAATTTTCCACAGTCCAGAGATCATTACTGGGAAATCCAGGGGCCCACGGAATGCTTTTATTCTTCAAATAGTTCTACTACTACCTCTCACTCACCATTACTTACTCTTCTAACCATTTCCTCAGTGTTCTAATAAGTCTTTTAAATTCATATATTTTATTTTATTTAAATTCATATATTTTATTATTTTATATTAAGTTTACAATAAACTTAATATACAACTTAATTAAAAGCATCAGTGAATTCACTCAAATGATTTAGAGTTTGAGGTCATGTTTGCTTTTATAGAGAAATACATTGTTTATTTGGATAAGAACATGACAGAACTGCCCTGCTGCACAGTGTAGATTTTACCCCATATCCTCCCAGCTACAATGAGCTTTTCCATTTAAATTATTATTATTATCTTTTTACTAGTGGAAGATTGAATAGAGCAATAACTCTCTGAAGTACTCTGTGGAGCCTCAATAAGTCTGGAAGATATCACAAATCGTTAGTTTTGGGGATAAATAGAAATGGATGCAATTTGGCCCTGCCCACATTCACTTAAACACACAAACTCACACCTATAAAACTGTTGGCCTTTGTTTGTGGCTGTATACGTTGATGTTATTCTTCTGAAAAAAATCAACAAATGGCAAAAATCATTTATATTTTTATGCATTTACAGTCCAACAAATGTCTTCAGAACTAATCTTTTCACAGAAATATAAATATATGCAATGGATATGTTCTTCCCCCACTATAAATAATAATAAAATTTGGAATATTACACAAATACCAACGTTACTATTATAGAATCTATATAGAAGAGTAGCAATTATATCATATTTTTCCAAGAAAAGAGAAAATAGCTTCCTATGATTTCAACTATATAGATATGTATACAATATAAACATATATATTTTATAATATATATATAATATATATATACACAAAATGTAATAAAGCACACAGAAGAAAAAGTCTTATATTTAGATGGTAAGATGACATTAAATATTTTTAAAAATGTTATCTCATTTTGTCTTCAGTGAAAATAAATTCCTTAATTCTAAGATCAATGTTAAAATACTGTCATTGTGCAGCTAACCATTATTTGAAGTCAATAATATTAAAAGATACTTATTTAAAGCGCCAGCATCATCAACTTTAATTTATAATTTGGCATTTGCCTTACTCAACTGTTTCTGGAAATTTATTCGTATAAAAATCGTTAGATTGAAAGGAAAGAGACCATGACATCTGTGTGAAGATGAAATTTGGGGTGATGAAGGGAGCAGTGGAACCCCTATTTCCTTTTTGATAGGCCACAGACTTCACAATCTATTAGGCAGTGACATTTCAGTGCTGTGAAGCCTGCTCACCCTGGCACACAGTATCTGTTTGACGGTCCATTGTATTCAGCATGGTGAATCCGGAATTAGGGAGTGTTAGTAATTTGACATAGGCAGCAGGACCCCGGGGCATCCCATATCTCCAAGGCCCATCAAAGAGTGCCTGTTCAGGCGGAGGCCATTCGAATAGTGGAAATTAGGTCAGTGTGTTAGAGAACTAATTAGAATTGTCTTTTTATAAGAATCAGAAAATGTGTCCTAGAGGCATTTCAGTGATTGTGGATAAGATTTAAAAAAAAATGAACGGAGTTGTGATTTGGATGAGGAACCTGCTTAAAGGGAGAGACTGCCACTTTGACTCTTAGGAGATTTAGCCATATTTGTTTAATTGAGGCAAGAGTGAGTTACAAAAGTTATCCCAGAACAAAATTCCTTTCCTCACTAACGTGGGGGGTGGACTTAGGTGTCATGTGGCAAATAGCCATTGCCAGCCCCACTTGTGGGCATGGGATACATTTCTCAGGATGATCAAATTTTTATTTTGGAATGAGGAGACAGAAACCTTCTCTGTCTGCTGAAGCACCACTGATTGCCTCAAGCATCTGAGGGAAAGATGGGTCTCAGCTTGTCCCACACTAGGGACCAAATCAAACCCTTGGTGATTTTCATCAGCTTTAGGAGCAGGCAGATATTTTTGCGGGACCAGACAGGAAATTAGGCTATTAAATTACAGCTTTTCTCCGAGAGGCCCCGTCATTCTCCTCCCCCTTTCTACAGATGTTCTATCAAAGCAAGTCATTATAGCCATTTATCTTGCCAAACTTAAAATACCTTCTCCAGAATTAATTTTTCCCTCAGTACTTGAGGTCTTTGTACTCTTTGTCTTGCTTCCCTGATCTTGTATGGATCTAAGATTAATTTGCACTAGCTAGGAGTTCAACAACAAAATCAATTTCAATTGGGTCAGACAGGGTCACTCCAGGCTCAGTAGTGTGAGGAAAGAAATAGATGATTATCATTCCAGGAGTACAATGCTAAGGTCCAGTCTGAGGGAAAAGAAGAAGCACATTCCCATAAAAGCAATAAATAATTCTTTCTAAACTGTCAGAAACAAATAGGAATTGGCTTATTTTCCACCAGAGTTTCCAAAAACTATACATAAATAAGTAAACTATGCCCTTCAAAGGAAGCAGGGCAAATTAGCAAATGCAATTTGGCATATTCTTTGTAGAATTGCTTTAGGAACATATTCCAGCATTACTGATGGGCTTACTTTCCTAAGCTCACATTTTCCATACAAGAATCTTTTCTGGCATTCTGCACAAACCAACTTAGACAGGACTTCTGAGCATACTTTCTGAAAAAAAAAAGTCAAACAATGATTATGTTTATTACCCTCTGTCATTGAAGTGTGTTGTCAGTGGACAAGGCACTGAGTGAGTAAATTAAAATCAAGCTGTGTATCTCATTACTCTTTTTTTGCATTTTACTTGATTATCGAGGTAAAAAATTGAGACTAAAAACAAAGTTTTCTCTGTTTCTTCTTTAAAACCTGTAGAATCTATAATGGTTCTTGACAGTTTAATTGGTATAAAAATATATCAATCACATGGGAAATATTCTTATTAGCCTCTACTCCTCTTAATTCAAAATGTATTATTGGTTACCGGCTATGCAGAAATGCATCCTGTTGGCTATTGGGACAGACAAAAGATTAATCAACCATGGGTCTTATTCTCAATGAGCTCATGTCAGAATGATCCTACAACTAAGAAATGTGGTGTTAATAAAGTAGGATTATTTTTAACTGGAAAAGGATGATAGTGCATTTACGATGTGTAAGTGATTATTTTAGGTAGTTGAACATATTATTTCATTCAAGTGCAACAGGCACGCTGGAAGATTATTGTATGGCTCTAACTTTAATTGCACAGACAAAAATCTCCTCTAGCTAATTTAAGGAAAAAGAGATTTATTATACTTATTGGTTGCCAGAAGGACTAAAGAAAAGCAGCTCTAGACTGAGATCTGAATGTGGACGGCCATCATCACGTGTAGACCTGAGCCATCAGGGGAGCCACTGGCCCTCCCAAAATCAGGACATCACAGCTGTTTCTGAAAGCCAGCGTAGCTGCAGCTCCCAAAACACAAAAACAGAATGGGTTTCCCACACACCATCTCTACCCATAGGATGTATTTACAAACTCCAAAATTCCAACTAATTCTGGTTGGCAGATCTGACAATACATCTAAAATTTTAATTTCAGCTGAGTCTGAAAATTGCTGTTTTTGGCTTTCTAGCTTCTACACCCATGAAGGGGGTTGGACCGATCAACCAACCAACAGAATCTGTCACAGTGGTTATTATCCCACTTTTCACAGGAGAGATGAAATTTAGGGAGGATCTACATATAACAAATACATGAGGTAGCAGGGCTGTGAGTCAGATATAACCCAGATACTGATATCACCACTCTGTTCCATTACTCTACCAGCTGGACAAACAATTATATTCTAAGTTATAAAATACTTAAGTCCAGAAGACAGAGGCACAGAGTATTTGTGGATTAAAGGAGCAAAAGGTACCAGGACTAACAGGGAAGAGGGAAAGTCCTAATGCTGAGAGTCACAGAGACTTTCTTAAGGACACAGCCACTTACCATATTCTGTGATAGACACGAAGAACTTAAATACATGTAACCAGAAAAAGAAAGGCCTTACAGAAAGAAAAGAAAAAATGGAGTAAAGACACAAGGCAAATGATTATGATGAAGTACAATTTTGGTTAGGGTACAGGTAAATGAGGAGGAGTGGGAGAAAAGAAAGTATAAAGAAATGTGTATTCTCATCGTGTTGGGCTTTGACCGTCAGTGTAGGCATCTGGGCTGTAGAACGTCATTTGTGGGTTTCGCAATGGGAAGTGTTATGGTCAGGTTTATGCTTCAGGAAAATCAATCTCTTTATCAGTGTGCCTTAGTAATTGGATAAGAATTTTCCATAAAAATGTACTTACAATACAAACAGAATTGGTTACTGACCCAGTTATCATGACAAGGCTTGACTCTCCTTTGACCTGGACATTTGGAAGGGGGCTATGAGAATGAAAGTTGGACTCAATGGGATACAGATAGAGCTTCATTCAATTTAAAACTAGTAGAGTTCTGCTATTCACAAAACACACATGTTCCATAGATATTTTTATTATATAAAGAGGTAGGGAAGGAAGCCTTTGACGGTCACCAAAGGAAGAAAAAGATCATTGAAAAGTGAGAAGTGAATATAAATACTTACAAATTTCTTCATAAAAAATACCTAAAGGGCTTTAGTCCTGTATTTGGAAGATTTAAATATATATATATATATATAGCACAAAAAGAGTCCATCATATAGCCTACTTGGATATACACAGCCTCACTAAAATGGTAGAAAAACATTCTCACATTTCATGTGACTGATAAAGTGTGAGGAGTTTCAGAATAAAATAAGAATCCACCCCATGGGAAGCCAGCCCCAGATGGGAGGCCTGGACTAAACAGCTCTAGCCTCATGACTATAAATTTTGCAGAAGCAAATCCTACAATAAGGGCAGCAAAAAAGGAAGTAAACCCACTCTAATTGAGAGATGCTTATTTTGTGCTAAAAGTACTTGTTCTGAATATGATTTTGGCACAGAACTTGGGTTTAGGCCCATTGTTACACTGGAAACAGACCCAGGCGCGCGCGCGCACACACACACACACACACACACACACACACACACACACACAGGCACACAGGCATCAATGGTATGCCTATTACCATAACTAATGAAAAGCCAGGGCCCAGGCACTTGTCCCTCGCCCAGCTCTTAATGGAGGTTTGCAGAGCGCACATACAGAAGCGTGTCTCCAGGGCTAGTCCTGGCGAGGGAGAATTTCTGCTATCCTAGCCCTACTGGCAAGGCAACATTTAAAATAACAGAAAGAAATGAGAATGCACATTTATGGGCATGCTGTTAGATGAGACCAAGTAATAATTCAATTTAGTAACTGCAACAGGCCTTTAAAAATATACATTGAAAATAATAGAAGTTTGTCATTTCCCACAAGATCATTGCTTTCTAATGAGCTGGGTAAGCGTGAATTTTGCTCATCCAGGTGGTGACCAGGAGGATGGGAGTGGGAGAAACTGAGAGTGGAAGTGTCCTTGGTCTGGGGAAGGGTAGGCCCAGAGCAGAAGGCCCGGTGGCTCTGCTGCAGGATTCAGGGAGAGAGGGCAGGAGGTGCCTGCAGATTTGAAATGAGTTTATAATTTAAAAAATGTTTCCAATATAAATTATTCTTCCCTTTTTCCCCCCAGTTGCTGAATGAGACCCATATTATTGTTAAGGCTGCAGCAAATGTGGATCTCCTTGGGCGTGCAAGGGGTTTGCTGTAGCTTCAGGGACCCGTGTGAGAGGAGAACCTGGAAGGGAATCTACGCATTGGATTGCATATTGACAAATGATAATAATAACAACAATATTTATTTATCAGAGAAAAATTAAAATATTCTCATAAAAATCAGGAGAAAGAAACACCTCATTTGGCATCTGTACTTGAAAATCTGTGTCTTTTACATCCTTCATGTAGGCAGGTAGAAATGTTTGGATTCTATGCCCTGGTCTGATGGAGCCGGGACCACAGGCCCAGGAGCCTTGTGCAGACCTCCTCAGTGCTGAAAATGATGCTCACATGAGGTGGAAAAGGCATCTCCATTACTTTAATGTTCACTGTGAGGCAAAGTGTGGCACTCTTTAAAGCGTGTGGCCTCAAAGAGCTAAAGTACACACACATGCCTATGCACGTGCAAATGAGCAAATACGTCCATATATACTCATATAAGCACACATGCAGCTACACATACACTCAGACACACGCATATATGTGCAGGCATATGTATATACATATGCAAATACATATACGTGTATATAGGAGCAGGCATATATATACACATATGCATGTATATACATATATGTACACACATACACATATATGTATACACATATAGTCCAATAGTCCAATACATATGCATACGCAGATATGCACAGAGATATACATATATGGCTTCAGTCAAACTTCTCATATAGAACAAGACTGCATTTTTTCCTGGTAAACGAACAGAGTGTTTGAAATGATGTTTGACAACAGCAGGAGAGCACAGGCAGCCGGCACGCAACACGCCATGGTGCTGATAGAAACACACATGGGCAAACACCATCATGGAGGATCATCTCACATTATTTCTGGAAGCAAGAACCACACCTGTGCATGGTGAGGTCTTCTGTTATTGAGATTTTTATACGAAAGAGAAATAAGAATTTACATGAATACTTACCGACAAGCACATTTATTGTATCAGAAATAAAAAATAAAATACTTATTTAATAGTACAGATTTGGTGAAGTAAATGGTGGTGCATAAGTAAAATGAAACAGTAAGCAGTCATTTAGGATGATGTTATATTAATATATATAGTTATGTATGAAGATAGAGTGAAATAAAAGTAGCTTATAAAACAAGTTATACACTATGAACCATTTATATAAGCAATGTTTAGAATTCAGAGCAGTAAATATCGTAATAGTTGCAGTTATTTTTGAAGTGAAGAGAGTAGAGGTGATTTTTGTTTGCATTCCCTTTGTAAGTGTTTTCAAAATATTTCTGACATATGATTGTATGATATATGTGCATGTACTCTGTCCTTCATATTGAACACTGCTGTTTGTCTCTACGGGAATTTCTTCTAACTTTTCTATTTTCATTATGCAATGTCCTTCAGACCTGGCCATGATTTTTTTGATAGTTTTTGATTTTAGTTTTGCTCAACATTTTGATGATATATTTTTAGCAACCAAATGTTATAAGACAAATTAGTAAAACAATAGGAAATCAAACTATGGTCTGTAACGATTTGTTAAGTCCAGCAGTGAATTTATTAAGGTGTTTTACCAGAAGAAAAATTAGATTGCCAAGTGCTGTCGAGAGAGGGAGGTATCATTGCCAGTCCTAGGTCACAAAGCTGTTTTGTTGCTAATGACCTGAAATTCTCACTGAGCATGTTTACAAGTATGTGTGTATATGTAAATATGTATTCTTCCTATTGTATATTTAATCATCTATTCGCTTTGTTCAGTAGCCCTCCACTTCTGTTAAGATAACGCTTGAGAAAGAGAAATTTCCTGAGGTTTAGGCATTCTGTGTTTAGGAACCATGTGCTCAAACGCTATTTCTTGATGAATTTCAAGTCTGAACTTCTAAGAATAGGGAAATGTGACACCTCATCTAAATAAAATGTAGGCAAGACGGTGCCACATGGGGAAGAATCCAAGAAGCCAGGATTTAAGTCCCAGTTCCATATTGGAAAATGGTTTCATTGTGTACCTGTTTATTAAACTCTCTGAGCTTTAGTGAACCGGCTACCAAATGAGCTTCAGAATGTTTTCTCTATTTCAGTCACATAAGTTGGCATAAGAACCAACTTATGCCAAGTTTCATGACAATTTCACTAGTGTAAATCTTTGCATATATCATAAATATTCAATTGACAAATAAAAGCAAGACATAATGCATTAATAAGAAATAATTTAAGTATAAATATAAGATGATCCTATTATTATTACCTCCATAATTCTCTGTTTCCTTATTCGGAAATGTTGGCTACTTCACGACACAGCTCTGCCTCTCTCAGGACTAATCAAAGCCTTGATCTAAAATAAGCAGGACTAAGAGGAGCTACTGACATCTACCCGCCCCCCATGAAAATGGGGTAAAGACCAGAGACAAAGTTTTCAATCTGACACACAAAGCAAAATTAAAACAATAATAAATAAAAATAATGATAAAAATATACACAAAACAAGTCGATCTTTATGCTAGTGTCAAGCAGTGTGGTAAATATTTTCTGTAGATCAATTTATGGAATCCATACAGCAATCATATTGCTGACACTATTCATATCTCTATTTTATATATGAGGAAACTGACACTGATTAACTTGGCCAAGATTACACAGGTAGGAACATATCCTGCTGATCTGGCCCCACTGGCAATGCACTTAGCCATTATCCTGTGCAACTTCTACTATCTTCAAATTATTCTGAAGAAAACCCAGGGGGAAATAGAGCTTTTTTAAATAGGCTGCTCTCATTGGATCCTGTATTCCTGCTATGACTTTTAGAGCACAGCTATGCCTTGATGAAAGTGGGAAGGGATTTCTATAAATGTCGTTTCTCTCGGGAAGGGTCTGGAGTCAGGTGGACCCGAGTGTTTAAATACACATCCTGCCTCTCATTAGCTTTGTTGCTGAGCACTTGCCTTTTCCAAGCCTCATTTTCTTCACATTAAATGTAGAGAAAAATGAGTATTTCATGGGGTTATTGTGAAGATTAAATAAAATATCTATCAGTAGTCCTACTATAATGCCTTTCAGAGAAGGAAATCCATACATGTGTTATTCATTCTCCTGCATATCAAACAGGATCCCAAAGTCTATTGTGGTGTAGACTTTGCCCAGTGGGCACTGATTGGAATGTCTAACTGGTCTCCACTTTCTGGCCACTCTTTCACTCAAGTCTCTTCAATTTTTCATCAAAACACTGACCATCTTTTATCAAGTTCTACCATGTTCCATTTGTTTACAATTTTTACCGAGAACCATAGAGACATGAAATTGAGGGTTTAAGTTAATGGTAGGGCTCAGAGCCAAAGTCAACAGACTCAGGAAGAGCTTTGTTTCTTTCTTTAGATTTATCTTTTATTCCTTTTTCTACTTATAAAGAAATTGTTGTTCTTCTCATTAGCTTGCTTAAGGCTCACCCTCGTTGCTTTCTGTTGCTTGCAAACCAAGAACTCCAAGAGGCTCTTCTTAGCCCCTGAAAACTGCCACTTCCACTAACACCCAGAACAAAGAATCTGGATAATCATCTTAAACATGAACACCATTGATGATGTTTACTAAGATGAGGTATGATCACTTAGTTTTCTCCCCTTAATGTAACTATATCTCAATTCTTTATTTTAGAGATTTGAAGAATGTGTTTCATAAGACACCTTATCAAGCAGAGATTAATTCTTCTATAACATCATGACATTTATAGGTCATCCATTATTACTTATGGGAAATAACGAGACTTAAGTTTGCATATATGTCTTATTCCACTACCATCTTGAAAACAATGGATGCAGGGCAGATGAACCCGAAAGTTGAGCTTAGCCAGTGAGGGTTCTTGGCTTTGCGCAGGAAAGAATTCAAAGGCGAGCCATAGATAGAAGAAAATAGCTTTGTTGAAGGGGCAGTGTTACTGCTCTGTGACTGCTCTTGAAGAGCAGGGATACTCCATGAGCACAGAGTAGCAGCTCAGGGCAATTTTCTAGTCACATTTATACCTACTTTTAATTGCATGCAGATTTCAGTTCATCCAGAAATTTCTAGGAAAGGAGTAGGAATCATTGTGTTATTGCCATGGAAAAGGATGGTAATGCCCACGTGTTGCCATGACAACGGTAAATTGACATGGCACACTGGTGGGCATATTTGTCTGAAAGATACTTTTATCCTGGTCCTGTTTTAGCTAGTCCTCATTCTGGTTCGCTGAGTCCTGGCTCTGGAGTCAAGTCATGCCTCCTACCTCATAACTGGTAGGAAAAATTAAAAGGAAAATACTTTTGAATTGATAAAGTACTCAGGAAAAGATCAAGCATTCTGAGTATATTCACCGCATTCTAAAATGGACTTGTAATTGGGTACAGTGTTTACTGCTCCGGTGATGGGTGCACCAAAATCTCAGAAATCACCACTAAAGGACTTATTCATGTAACTAAACACCACCAGTTCCCCCCAAAACCTATGGAAATAAAACATAAAAAATAAAATAAAAGACTTGTAAGATGCAATACAAATACTTAGGTCAAAGAATATAAATATACTTGTTTTCTCTTGTTGATATGGAATTTTCTTAAGTTTTAACTTTTGGTTTTTCTCGCAAAGTCATTTTGCATATCTGTCATAATGTAATAATGTCTTTAAAACAGGTATTTAAACTCTTAACTTCCAAAAAAAAATTAAAAGATCTTAGATTTATGGTGCTATATCTGTCAGGCCTTCAGGATTCCAACCATATACAGAAATTTTGGTCTCTTCCAGACTGGATGTGAGCTCTAGGACCAGGGGCTGAGTGAAAGCCGTGGCTTCTAGCCAATGACAACAAAATGCAAGGTTCACTGGCATTGTGTTTCCAAACAGAGCCAAGTTAAACTGCATTATTATACTGTTAGCAACAATACAACTTCCTAGAAAATTGCGTGTTTTGTTAATATAGGAACACGCTGGCAATTAGCAGATGTGCTTGATTTAAAATGGGAATGTGCTTATTCAGTGTAAATACTGTATGACACTCTTCTGTATCATTTCAGTTGCAGTTTCCTTGCATTGGAACATCTATCGGCAGGACAAGTTAATGACTGACAATATTGACAATATACACAATTAAATTGTGTAAGTAGAAACAAAATTTGTTTTGTTCGAATTAGAAAAGGCATCTCCATAATAAAATATGCCTACTTACAAGAGGAATAGCTTTGCCTTAAAAAAAAGAAAAAAAAAACGGGTAGACGGACAGTCTAGAAGTGAGCATTTTTCCACAGAGAATGAAAGGTGCACAGCAGTGAAGACGCTGACGCAGAAAGGACCACACCCACGACCTGAAAGGAGTAGAGTTGTTTTTCTTTTAAAGTTGCCTTTTAGATGAATACATTCAGTTTTCTGGCAAATGCCACGCCAGTATGTGAAAGAATCAAGTACGCATACTTGGGATCATCTAAATCTGATTTGTAGCAGCCCATGAATGCAAAGGAAAAATAAAAAGCTACCATGAAACTCCAAGCATATTCATTTTCCTCTTGGCTCTAATCCCTACAAGGAACACAGTAAAACCAGCACCAAGGGAGGGAGCTGAGGTCGCCCGGGCCTCAGGGGGCCGGGGCGCAGGGGCGCATGTGTCCCGCCAGGGCTCAGGGTGTGTGCACTGTGGGTCCCAGTTTCTGTCAGCTATGGAGAAGGACGGGGTGTTCTCCTGAGAACAAATGACAGCCCAGCTAGAGGCGGTCATCTCAGGACACCAACGGGCGCCCTGGGGTTTGCTCAGTGAGGTGCGTGGGGGCTGAGGCGGGTGCTGCCTGGGGCCTCTGGGCCAGGGCCGGTGAGGACCCCCAAGTCCCCCGAGACTGCACAGCAGGGGGCCAGCATGGCCGGGCTCCTCGCTGCCCACAGGGATTGAAGGCAGCTGTCACACAGCCTGTCTAAAATAACAACTGGTGACAGCGCCAGGGAAAGGCAATTTCCCTGCAGATAGAAAAAACCTGAAGCTGGTGATGAGCAGCTTCCTGATAAGATCTGGGGAGCTGGGTGAGTGGGTTCACACAAGCGCCCTAAGAGGCAAAATGCCGAAGTCCGAGATACGACCTTCCAGGGCACTCCAGGGGAAAGGGAGGAACCTGCCAGGTCAGCATGTGTACAACTCCAGTAATCACACTGGCCATGCTCCCCTCCCTAGCCTTAGCATCTCACCACGCAGGTGGGCAGCCCACCCCAAGGGAAGAATCAGCGGAGAAGGAGGCAAGACCCTAGAAGTGAGAAGTGACAATGTGCTAGCAGCCCTCGCTCGCTCTTGGTGCCTCCTCGGCCTAGGGGTCCACTCTGGCTGCACTTGAGGAGCCCTTCAGCCCGCCGCTGCCACTGTGGGAGACCCTCTCTGGGCTGGCCGAGGCCGGCTTCCTCTGCTTGTGGGGAGGTGTGGAGGGAGAGGCGTGGGTGGGAACTGGGGCTGCGCTTGGCGTGCTCCGGGTGGGCACTGGCTCTGTGGGCTCCGAGTGTGGGATTGCCAGCCGGCACCTCAGGCCCCACAGCTGTGAGGGGCTTAGCACCCGGCCAGCAGCTGTGGAGGGTGCACTGGGTCCTCCAGCAGTGCCAGGCCGCTGTCGCCGCACTCGAATTCTCGCCGGGCCTCAGCTGCCTCCCCAGGGGGCAGGGCTCAGGATCTGCAGCCCGCCATGCCCGAGCCTCCCCCCTCAAACTGCCCCCACCGTGGGCTCCGCAGTGGCCTGAGCCTCCCCGATGGGCACCACGCCCTGCTCCGCGGCACCCAGTCCCATCCACTGCCCAAGGACTGAGGAATGTGGGGGGCAGAGAGCTGACAGCTCCGCCTGTGGCCGTGGTGAGGGATCCACTAGGCCAAGCCAGCTGGGCTCCTGAGTCTAGTGGGGTCTTGGAGAACTTTTATGTCTAGTTAGAGGATTGTAAATGCACCAATCAGCACTTTGGGTCTAAAGGTTTGTAAACACACCTATCAGTGCTCTGTGTCTAGCTAATGTAGTGGGGACTTGGAGAACTTTTATGTCTAGCTAGAGGATTGTAAATGTGCCAATCAGCACTCTCTATGTCTAGCTCAGGGATTGTAAATGCACCAATCAGCACTCTGTCAAAACGGACCAATCAGCTCTCTGTAAAACAGACCAATCAGCTCTCTGTAAAATGGACCAATCAGCTCTCTGTAAAGTGGGCCAATGGATAAGGGAATAAAAGCAGCCTGCCCCAACCAGTAGGGGCAACCTGCTGTGGTCCCCTTACATGTTGTAGAAGTTTTGTTCTTTTGCCCATTGCAATAAATCTTGGTGCTGCTGACTGTATGAGTTTGCACCGCCTTTATGAGCTGTAACACTCAACGCGAAGGTCTGCAGCTTCACTCCTGAAACCAGGGAGATCAAGAACCCACCAATTCTGGACACAGAAGCATGTCAACATGTAAAACCCAAGACAAAGGTCAAACCCTGCACTTGTCCTTTAAGTCTCCCGCTTGGGCTTCTTCCAAGTGTGCTTTCCTTCCTTTCATTCCTGCTCTAAAGCTTTTTAGTAAACTTTCCCTCCTGTGCTAAAAGTTGCCTCTGAGGCACCTATTTTCCCTTTCTCTGAGGAGGCAAGAACTGAGGTTGCTGCATGTACAGATTCACCACCAATAAGAGAAGCAGTTGAATTTCAACTTCCAAAGTCTAGTGTGAGAGCTGGCTGACATAAGTCACTTCAAAGTGATATGGAGATATTTTTATTCATACTTATTTTATAGACAGAAATGTGAATATGTTACATTTATAGACAGAAACGTGAATGTGTTACATTCTTCACAAATTTTAAAAAATTAGAACATCATTTGGGGTTGACCACAGTTTTCACTTTTTATTCATCAAGTGAGTAGAAATATTAGCTCTAATTTAGACTGATATCTTCATAAAGTGCAAATCTTTAAAAAGTTATATACTGCATCTTCTTAGGCAACCATGAAGAGAGAAGTCTATTTTCTTTGCAAGATAATTTTTAAATTTTTTCTAATATTTTAGATAATGGCAGTATATGATCATTTCTAAAAATTTAAAATGCAAATACATATTAAAATTACATTGATCATATCACACCCCCCAAAAAATGGTGTTAATATTTGTGATATATGCTTTCAAACACTTTTGACCAGGTGTATGGGTAACAAAAATGTCATATATGTGACATAGTTTCATTTTTGTATAGCTATATACATCCATATACATACTAAGTATATAGATATTCCAAATGGTATATGCTTCTTGAGTGCATGTGTAGTGAAATAGTCTATGTGTTTTTTAATGTTGTATGCTTTTGAATCTTTTGAATATATCTCAATGTTTTGAAGTATTTTTCAAATGCATGACAATGGCTGCACAGCATTCTCTCATTTGAGTGTGTAATATATAAAACACTCGTTCAAAATGGCCGTGCTTATCTCGTAATGTTTTCATTTTTAAAATCTAGACATGAAATTCCAGGATAAACTTGTAGAGTCATGTTGAGGGTCGTGGGGCCCTTTTCACAAGTAGCTCTCAGAAACCTATGACCAGCTTAGCTTCTCCCAAGCAGTGTATCAGTTCCTTTTTCACTGCACCCTTGACAAACCTGGAGGCTTAAAAACATGTCATCGTGACATGTGAAAGGTGTCTTTACTTGTTGGCATTTTTACTCATTTGTTTTTCTGAAAACTACCTTGACTGTTCACACTATGATGTGAGCTGTTTATCTCCTTGCTGTGCTCTTTATTGTAAACACATTTTTCGTAATAATCCAAAATTTTTATTCATGTATAACATGCCTCTTAATTCTATTTATGATGCTATTCAATGTAAAAATGTCATGAAATGTTTATGCTTGCAAGTTGTTAAATTCCACTGTTCAATTACTGACGTTTTCTCCTTATATTTACTTTTTTAACAAATAAATCTGATTAGTCTGAAGCTTAAAATGATGAAAATTAGTATTACAATTGTCAAGTTGCTAGCAATTTCTCCAGTATCATTTAATATGTCCATCTTTGCCCCCCTGATTTGTACTGTACTAATTTCTTCAATATGCTATTTTGTTTCTCTGAAATAATTCTATTCTTTGTCCATTGTTAGGTGAATACCACACTGCTTTATTTATTTCAGAGCTAAAATGTACTTTCATGTCTTCTAGCCCCATTATGTCTATTTTATTTTACCAATAGTTTCCTGTATTTCCCTTCAAATGAATAGGAATATTTCTATGATGTTCTAAAAAATAGGGGATTTGGCTTCTAATTTCATTAACTCATTAATTCATTTTGAGAAGATTACAAATTTTACAGGACTTAGTTTTCGCCTCAAGGAAGATTACATGCCCTTTTATGTGCTTCTATTTTTGCTTGTTCCATCAGTTGTATTTTGTAAATTTCTCACTATGCTTCTAACATATTTATGTTTAAATTTTATATTTATACAAAATATATGTTCATATTAAAAGACGGCGTTTAAATAGGTTTAAGTACTTACATCTTGATCTCCAAATCCCACTCTTCACTAGAATGAACTGAAGTTCCTGGAAGAAGCAGTTTGCCAGCTTGGAGGCCAGGAAGGTACAAGCGAGTGTAGGACATCTCATGCTGGAAAACAAGAAAATATTCAAACTTTTATGGGATGTGGGGTGTGGCTGGAGGGGAGGAGGAGAGGGCTCCTGCAGGGCTTGCGATTCTGCCTCTTGAGCTCAGTGCAGGGTACACAGGTGGGCTCAAATTGTGAAAATTAATTGAGACTGTAGAGAGTTTCAGTAAGTCTTGTGTGTGTGTGTGTGTGTGTGTGTGTGTGTGTGTGTGTGTAGAAAGCTTCAATAGAAGGTTTGAAAACTATGAATAAGGAGGTAAAAAGATAATTCTAAGGGGTTCCTACTGACTAAGTTTGAAACAATTTCACCATGAAATTACTAATGATACCAATGAAGAATAATAGATTGAAAATAAAATGGATAGAAATCAAGATTTTTTTAAAAATGAATACACAGGGAATGGTTTAAGCTCTACTTCACAGAAGAATGTCAGTTAGTAAATATTGAAACGTAGAAGGAATGAAAGAACTACAAAATAAGTGCAATAATTGTTTCAGGCAAGAACCATCAATGAGTGAAAAAAATCATCGGATATTATTGTCACAGATTACTTATTAATTACAAACGACGATGTATCTTTACAGTGAACAAACCTGGCAGACAATACCTCAAGTTGTTAAATTTAGCATCACCAATATTGGAGCAACCTGGCATCAGATTTCCTCTGATGTAAGGCGATGGGAATTACAAAAAAAAAAAAAAGTGCTTACGTAGTATGTTACCTAAACTACTTAACGTAAAGGAAATAATCAGACTTATCTAGATTGTAGACATTCTCCAAAATGACAAGCACTTATCCTTTAAAATTATCAATGATATGAAGCTTTAAAAATGCAAGGGAACTTGCAGTGAGCTGAGATCGCACCACTGCACTCCAGCCCGGGCGACAGAGCAAGGCTCCGTCACAAAAAAAAAAAAAAAAGAGCAAGGGAAATATTTGAAAGGAGATAAAGAGAAAAACAAAGTGTAATCGTTGGTTGAATCCTTGGTGGTGCGTGTGCGAAAACACACCAAGTTCTATTTCCACAGGCCCTCCTGCTAAAACCTGAGGGCAGTGAGATGTTACAGCCACATCCTTAGCTAGGAGCATTAAGATGTATTTATTCTCAAATGAAAATTCTGTTTTATTTTACTATAATACATAAATATATCCTTAATTTAGTAAATATAAAAATACAAAATAAATGAAGAAATGTAACCATATTCCTCCTTTGCAAAAGACAAAGCCTGCATTTTGGTCTATTTTTGCCCATACTAGTTTTATGTATAGATTATTTTTATTCATGCTATAATAATTATGGGTTTATTTTTATTTATCAAATATTTATTAATCACCTTCAATAAACAGAATATAGAAGCAGGTTTCTGCTAATGGGATAACACTTAAACTTTTCAAAGCATAGGAAGTACATTCGATGGTTCTAGTTGACACTTACATCCAAGCTGTTCAATGTCCCTACACCTAAATGTATACTTTAACTTCCTTCCAACTGTATCATTCACAGAAAACACAATCTTATTTCAAAACATTGGACAGAAATACAGAAATAATCGTGGCTTACACTAGGTTAGTAAAATATGAGAATAAAAAGTATATTATTTAATAAAAATATTGAATTAAAAATAAACCATAAGAACATAGGATCAATTCAGAAAAAAATTAGAGATAATTTTGAAGGTTGGCATGAATAGTTTATTTGGTTGCTAATGTGAATTCAACACAGGAAAACTAAAAGGTGGTCACTGGTTTTCATGATGATATTAGTGAGAATAGATTTGGTTTAATAGTAGAAGCTGAATTCAAATTGAAGGGGCTTCTGAGCCTATTCAGGCTGCCATAGCAAAATGCCTTAGGCTGGGCACTTTATAAATCACAGAGATTTACTGCTCACAGTTCTGAAGGCTGGGAAGTTCAAGATCAAGGCAACAGCAGGTGTGATGTCTTATGAGGGCTCACCCTCTGCTTCAAAGATGGTACCTTCCTGCTGTCTTCTCACATGGCAGAAGAGACAAACAAGGTCCTTGGGGCCTCTTTTATAAGGGCTCTGATCCCATTCATTAGCAAAGGCCCTCATGACCAAATCATCTTTGAGAGATCCCACCTCTTAATGCTATTGTATTGGGGATTCAATTTTAACTTACGAATTTTGGAAGGACACAAACATTTAGGCCATAGCAAGGGGATTGAGGAATAAAAAAGATGTAAGAAAGTGGAAGATTTTATTTAGAGGAAAACACTTTTGAAGACAATGAGCATAAGAGAAAGAAGATCTGAGAGAAAAAAATCAGAGGGTATTATGGAATCAAAGAAGGGTTCCTAAAATGAAAGACCTTCAATGACACTGGGAGAGAATAAGGAGTGAGCCATCCTGGAGTTAATGGAAAGCAGACATGATTAACAGTCATTAACAGTATAAAGGCCCTGAAAATGAAGGCAATGGGATTTGGTGAACATAAAAAGGAGCTGGCTTTAGGAGAAAAAACAGTTTTTTTTTTGTAATAGAAGTTAATGAAGGATTTTCCAGGTATATAGCCATAGTTCCTGCAAATATTGTTTCTACCCATGTATTTACAAAATCAATAAGTTCTCTTTGTCATATTTAATTTCCTTAGCTAGCATTGCCAGAGCCATGTTAAATGTTGGGAAGCATGAATTTTAATCATGTTGGTAATGTACAAATCTGTTTCTGTATTATTATTACCATTATTTATTCAGTAATTGGCTATATCAAATAACATTTTTGTTACCAATAAATATATTTAAATATTTTGAATTATTATGTTTATTATATCTATAATCAATACCTGGAAGCAGCTTGCTTTTATATTAAGTAACCTCTCAGAGACGTATTGTATGTTTAATACATATATATATAGTATGCTTAATACAATAGCATTAAGAGGTGGGACCTCTCAGAGACGATTTGGTCATGAGGGCCTTTCAACCTCTAAGTAAAAGCTGTGTAGATTTTCTTAACAATTAGAAAATGAGAAGTGAGGAAACAAACATCCCAGATATAGAACCCTTGTTATAGCATGAAAATAAATTTACTTAAAACTGTAATCTGTAATAACCAGGGAGGTATTTCATGTTTCTGTAGTGAAAATAACTGCAGAAGCAGCAAAGGGGAAGACCTAAAATATTAATATCTGTTATTTGTTCCTTTCTGATTTTGACAAGTTGTTGCAAGAAAGAGATGAGCTTAAGAAAATAATCATGATTTTGAAAACAAAGATGTATGGCAACAGAGTCTAGTTGGAATTAGACTCTCACAGATTTGGAAAAGGCAGTTGCTTTTCTATCGCAAACAGCAGGAAATATGTGTATAGTTAATGCTTCTTGTCAAGTTCTTTCATTTAGGTTTTTTTTTTTTTTTGTCAAATACGTGGTGATAGGTGTCTCAAAAATTTCCAAGTAGCTACTATTAAAATGAAGAAAAGAAGAATGAGCCCAGCATTGGAGAATATAAATAAGAAAATCTGTTTTTCAAAAGCAAATCCAGGTAAGAATGTCGAGGGTTGCTAACTGGCACAGAGTACAACCAAAATAAATAAAGCAAAACACAATCAATTTTTGCATTATTTAATGAATATTCACTTCAATCTTTGAAGCAACTTTTATACTCCCAAACTCACCATAGAAGGAAGTAATCTACAAAAGAAGTATGTCTTTCATAGAGGGAGCACTGTATGAGATCCCTTTCAAATAGGGCCAGGCGGGGTAACAGAGAATGATGAGCTCACAGATGACAAAGCCAGTGACCCAGACTACCTTGGACAAGGAAGCCCTTCCCAGAGAGTAGAACTAGGGTCTCACCAAGGAACATACACTAACGCTGGGTTTTGGGGTTTAGAGCTCCTCCCAAACAGGACTTACTGATTTTATGAATTGTGATATTTTGTATCTCACATTTTTTACTTTTTTCCAGTGGAGATTTTTATTGTGATACTCTTGTTCCTGATCTGCCATATATTTTGGTTAGTAGCGAACGGGTCATTTATGTCATCTAAAGATCATGAGACAGTGGGGCTCTATGTTCACAGCTTGCAGAGAAAGCGCTACATTCTTCAAAATCCTGGACTTTTATCTGGATGCAGTCTAATGAAAGTTCAGGTTTCTTGCCTTGGGGTAAGTGTATTATGTACAGGAAGAAGAGTTTGCACAGCTATTTTATAGGTCATTAGTTGTTTCTTCCTTCCTGATTACACAGCCACCCAGCTAGAGATAACCTTTTCTAGCTTCCCTTCTAGGTAGGTGGAGCCGTGTGAGCAGGGTTTTGCCGGTTGAATGTGACAAGAAACTAGGTATAAAACAGTCACTGCTCTTGTTACGAAATATTTCCCCTCTCCACGGCCTGGAACCATATACATGGTGGTGGCATCTTCAAGTCTACAAATGGAAGACAAAACCTGGGAGTGAAACGGCTAGAAGAGAAAATAAATGTGGGCTTTTATGTGACCTCAAGAGGAATTCCGCCCACCAAACCTGAATCAGTTGTAACATTAACTGAGAAATAAACTCCATATTAAAGGTTTTGCACTTGAGAGGCTCTTCGAGCATCTTAGCCTTTGCCCTAATTAATACATAGTCCTTTTCATTAATGAGACTCAACCCCACGTGGTTACGTTCTATGATCTTTTAACATGCCACTGGAATCATCATGCTAACATTTTGTTGTCATTATGTAAATTCTATATTAGTTTTTTTTTAAATCCCCTGGGGATTTGCCGCCTACAAATTGCCTATAGACAGGCAATACAAACAATTTGAACCCACTGCATCTTCAATCAGCAATTTAGAGAAACTGAAATTTGCTTCTTCAAGTTGATCTTGGGTAATGACTTGAGGATAAGCATCAGCAGGGCATTTATTTTAAGTCTCAGAGACTTTCTAGAACAGAAAAAGTGGAGTTTTGCTAGTCTTCCTAGAAACCAAAACAATATTTCCATAGCAGATGATTAAGATAAGAAGGAATTTAGATCAGCCTGCCCATAAAACTAAAACACCGTCTCTACCAAAAAATACAAAAATTAGCCAGGCATAGTGGTGTGCACTTGTAGTCTCAGCTACTTGGGAGGCTGAGGCAGGAGGATTGCTGGAACCCAGGAGGCAGAAGTTGCAGTGAGCCAAGATTGCACCACTGTACTGGGTGATAGAGCAAGACCCTGTCTCAAAAAAAAAAAAAAAAAAAAAAAAATTTAGGAAGTCTGAAAAGTATGGAAAAATACATTGAGCTTTTTCAAGTCAGTCTTTATCACCACAGAAAACAAAAACCGGCTGGGCACAGTGGCTCACACCTGTAATCCCAGCACTTTGGGAGGCTGGGGCGGGCGGATCACAAGGTCAAGAGATCGAGACCATCCTGGCCAACATGGTGAAAATCCGTCTCTACTAAAAATACAAAAATTGGCTGGGCGTGGTAGCGCATGCCTGTAGTCCCAGCTACTTGGGAGGCTGAGGCAGGAGAATCGCTGGAACCCGGGAGGCAGAAGTTGCAGCGAGCTGAGATCACGCCACTGCACTCCGGCCTGGCAACAGAGCAAGACTCTATCAAAAAAAAAAAAAAAAATTCAACACAAAGGCATTTAATAAGCAAATGCTAACCGAATTAAAGCATTCATAAAAGTAGACCTCTGAACTCAGGGAAGGAAGGGTACAGTCTGCAAAAGCAGGCGGCTTTAATCATTATGTACAAAACGTGAGGTGTGGGAGTAAGCACTACAAATAAAATGATAGATCTAATTTATAATAACTGTGAAATAGCTATTTTATTTTCACTATGGAGAAATAGTTACTGACAGCTATTAATACATAGTTCTTTTCAAGGAGCAGAACAAAGCACTAAAAAAGACATTGAACTAGAGTCTAGCAGTTCAACGTTTTGTTCTATCAGTAACTAGTGGCATCTGCCTCCATTGTCTTATCTAGAAAAAATGAGAACAGACTACTTGGCCCTCTTATTCAAAAAAAATGTGCTGAGAATCACATGTTTTATGCCTACATAATACTCTGGAAAATCATAAAACTAGGATCAATTTATCTCTTAAATTGTGTGAAAATATATACAACACAAAGTTGTAGGGCTGGGCACAGTGGCTCATGTCTCTAATCCCAGCACTTTGGGAGGCTGAGGCAGGTGGATCACCTGAGGTCAGGAGTTCAAGATTAGCCTGGCCAACATGGTGAAACCCAGTCTCTACAAAAATACAAAAATCAGCTGGGCGTGATGGTAGGTGCCTGTAATCCCAGCTACTCTGGAAGCTGAGGAGGGAGAAGAGAATCGCTTGAACGTGGGAGGCAGAGGTTGCAGTGAGCCTAGATAGCACCATTGCACTCCAGCCTGGGCAATAGAGTGAGACTCTGAAAAAAAGTTATAAAATTGCCATTTTAACTATTTTTAAGTGTATAATTCAGTGACATTATTTACCTTCACAATTCTCAATTTACCTTTGTAATCTATGAGATTGCAATTTGAGGTACGATATATCTAGGAAATCAAACATCATGCTTATCTTATTTGGGGCTTAAGGGCAGGAAATAATCAACTATTTACGAGAATCATATAGTTCAATTGAGGTATAAACAGATAAAAAGTCATACAAAGCCACGTTTTAGATGACAGCAAATGTGCGATCAAATTCTGTGATATGAGTTATCTATAAATTAATCACAATTAACTGGACTTCGTATCACTGTTTATTAACAGCCGTATACATCTTGGGCTTGGGTAATCATCATGCATCAAGGGCAAGAGAAAGGAATACAGATCAATAGGCTGTTCACACAAACCTGGGACACCTTTTAGAAAAGAGCATTTTAAAGTATGTCTACAGTAGAGAAATGTACAGTAATTGGATACCATTTGTAGAGTTTTAGTTTTGTTTTCTTTTGTTTTTGTTTTTTGTTTTTTTTTTTGAGATGGAGTTTTGCTCTTGTTCCCAGGCTGGAGTACAATGGTGCAATCTCGGCTCACTGCAACCTCTGCCTCCCGGGTTCAAGCAATTCTCCTGTCTCAGCCTCCCAAGCAGCTGGGATCACAGGCGCACACCACCACACCCAGCTACTTCCATATTTTTAGTAGAGACAGGGTTTCATCATATTGGTCAGGCTGGTCTCGAACTCCCGACCTCAGGTTATCTACCCTCCTTGGCCTCCCAAAGTTGGGGTTACAGGCATGAGCCACTGCCCCAGGCCTAGTAGAGTTTTTAAAAAATGGTTCTAGCTTCTCAGCAACTGATTTTTACATCAAAGCTTCACAATTGTTTTACTGTTTTAACTTTATTGAAACGTTTGCTAGCCTTGCTTTTCAACACCAGGTCTGGCCTTATGCAAGGACAAGCTGTGAAGTCGGACTGGACTCCACACTCAGAAGGACCTCATGCTTGGTTTAATGCTCCTCTGTCTTGAGATTCTTAATAATTTTATCTTTGAATTTGTGTGAGTGATGTCCAATGAGACAGGGCAGCAGGCGTATCAGCAGAGGCAATGCCCACAACGCAGGGGCCAGCTCCGTGTCTTGCTGCTCTGCACTTACACAGCGTCCACGATGCCATCGTGAGCACAGTATTCCACAGGACCCACGTATGATGCATGGGAGGTGCCTTAGACCATTTGCACTGCTATAAGGAATACCTGAGGCTGTGTAATTTATAAAGAAAAAGGGTTTATTTTGCTCATGGTTTTGCAGGCTTTACAAGAAGCATGGCGCCAGCATCTTTGCTCATCTTTGCAGGCCTTCCAGTGAAGGCCTCAGGAAGCTATCATTCACGGCAGAAGGGGAAAGGGGGCCTGTGTGTCATATGGTGACAAAGAGAGGAGAAGAGGGAGGAGAGGAAGGTGCCAGAGTTTTTTAAACAACCAGTTCTCACTATAAACTAATAGAGCAAGAACTCACTCATTACTTCAGGGAGGGCACCAAGCTATTCATCAGGGATCCATACCCAGGATAAAAACACTTCCCACCAGCCCCCGCCTCCAACACTGGGGATCACATTTGCACGTCGGATTTGGAGGAGACTCACGTCTAAACTGTATCAGGAGGCCAGTGAGACTCAAAGCAATGCAGCCTAACCATGGTATGTCCTCTCCTGGGTAAACAGGGCCAGCCGTAAGCCCCAAGTGGTCACAGTTTATAATGAAACCAGAGCCTTCTTTTCTGAACACTGACAGAAGGTAATAAAGTTCTAAGAAAAACAAATGACCGAAGAGCCCTATCATGTTCTTTCTTACTCATTCTATTTCTCTCTGTTACTAACGACTAACAAACAATGGAAGAGCATAGAAGGAAAGGGAAAGGAAGGCAGCCCACAGATCTTTTTCCTCTTCAAGCCTGAGATAGAGATTGCTGGCAAAAGACAAGAATATCAAGAAGTGAAATAAAAATAGTTGAGTTAGTTTTGGGCTGAGTTTCCAATGATTTGGTAAGAACAACATACATTTACCTGTATGAGCTATGGAGTGTAAATCAAGTCATTTTGGTGATTCTATATGCAAGTTAAATGCTCTGGTATTTTTATTAGAAATTAGTTTTGCGAATGATAAAACATAAAAATTATTAAGTTTTTTTGCTGAGAAAAACATTAAATAGCAAATTTTTAAACACCACAAGTTAGAAAACAGACCAATGAATAAAGAAAAATGCTTTATATTTAATTTATTTAATGGCTTTTTTATTTATGAATTCATTTTTATTTTGCAATAAGCTTTGCAAATTATGTATTGACTCTGCTCAAAGCAACCTCAATGTTGATATTGTTAAGCATTAAATGTTTAATCAGATGAAAAATCTGATTCTAAGTTAAAGGTCCAAAATTGTATAAGCTTCTAAACTATTTCTGCATTTGATTAGTGTTTGAGTGCAGATAAACAAAAAAACACATGAATTACATTTACTTTTAATACATCAAACAATAAGAATAGGGATACAATTTCATTTACTTCTATTCCTATCTTGTTATTTATTTTTTTCTGCTATCTTTGATTTGGGTGTTTTTTCTTTTTTTTGTAGTTCCTTGAGATGTGACATTAGGTTGTTAATTTGTGATCTTTCTATTTTTTTGATGTAGGTATTTAACAGTATAAACTTCTGTCTTAGCTCCACTTTTGTGATATTGCAGAAATGTTGGAATGTTTTGCTTCCATTTTCATTTCTTGCATTTAAAATAATTTCTGTCTTAATTTTGTCATTTACCTAAAGATCACTCAGGAGCAGATTGCAATGAAAGGAAAAGTTAGTTCCTTGAAAAGATAAAATCGATAGACCACTAGCTAGACTAACCAAGGAAAGAAAAAAGAAGATTCAAATAAGCACAATCAGAAATGAAAATGGAGACTTTACAGTTGAAATCACAGAAATCCAAAAGATCATCAGAGACTACTATGAACATCTCTATGATCATAGACTACAAAATCTAAAGGAAATTGAGATGGAATCAGTGATAAAAAAAAATTACCAACAACAAAAAGAGTTCAGCTGCACAAAGAAGAACTGACACCAGTCCTACTGAAACTGTTCCAAAAAGCCAAGGAGAGGATCCTCCGTAACTCATTCTACCAAGCCACTTTCACACTAATGCCAACACCAGCCAAGGACGCAACAGAAAAAGAAGACTATAGACCAACATCCCTGATGAATGTAGATGCAAATGTCCTCAACAAAATACTAGCAAATCAATCACAACAGCATATCGAAAAGATAATACAGTACAATCAAGTGGGTTTTATTCCAGGGATGCAAGGATGGGTCAATATATGCAAATCAATAAATGTGATTCATCATATAAACAGAATTAAGAATAAAAATCATATGAACACCTCAATAGATGCAGAAAAATTATTTGATAAAATTCAGCATCTCTTCATGATAAAGACCCTCAACAAACTAGGCCTAGAAGGAACACACCTCAAAATAATAAAATCATATATGAAATACCCACAACTAACATCATACTGAAAGGAGAAAAGTTCAAAATATTCTCCCTAAGAACTAGAACAAGACAAGGATGCCCACTCTCACCACTCATATTTAACATAGTACTAGAAGTCCTAGCTAAAGTAACCAGGCAAGAGAAATAAATAAAAGGCATTTAACTTGGAAAAGAGGAAGTCAAATTATTCCTGTTTGTTGATGATATAATCTTATACCTAGATAATCCTAAAGTTTCTTTTGAAAGACTTCTAGATTTGATAAATGAATTGAGTAAAGCTTCTGAATACAAAATTAACATTAAAAATTTGGTAGATTTCTATACACCAATAATGAGCAAGCTGAGAACAAAATTAAGAAATCAATCCCACTTATAACAGCTATGAAAATAAAAATAATATACCTAGGAATATGTATAACCAAGGAGGAGAAAGACCTCTACAAGGAAAATTATAGAACACCGATGAAAGAAATTGTAGACGACAAAAGACAAATGGAAAAACATTCCATGCTCATGGATTAGAAGAGTCAATATTATTACAGTAATCATGCTGCCCAAATCGATCTACAGATTCAATGTAATAAAATCAAAATATGATTCCAAAAAATTATAAAATGTATATGGAACCCAAAGAAGATACCATACAGCAAAAAATAAGGTGATTTCTGAAACAACTAAAAATAGAACTACCATTCAATAGAGAAATCTCACTACTAGGTATTTACCCAAAAGAACAAAAATTATTATATCAAAAACTACCTTCACGTGTGTGTTTATAGCAGCACTATTCACAACGAAGATATGGAATCAACCTATGTATCCATCAAGGGATGAGTGAACAAAGAAAATGTAATGTGTGTGTGTGTGTGTGTGTGTGTGTGTTTTATACACTCAGCCTTAAAACTAAAATCTAAGTAGGGTATACACACACACACACACATATATAGATCGATATGTGTGTCTGTGTGTGTGTGTGTGTGTGTGTGTGGTATCCTACTTAACCATAAAAAAAGAATGAAATCATGCAACACGGATGGAAGCAGAGACTATTATCTTAAGTGAAATAACTCAGAAATGGTCAAATACTACATGTTGTCTCTTGTAAGTGTGAGCTAAATGCATACAAATGGACATGGAGAGTGGAATAAAACATTTTGGAGACTCAGAATGGGAGTATGGAAGGGGGTGAGGAATGAGAAATTACCCAGTGAATACAACGTTTACTATTCAGCTGATGCTTACACTAAAAGCCCAGACTTCTATGCAATATATCCATATAAGACGACTGCACCTGTACCCACTATATCTAAAAAATGAACATTTTAAAAAACCATGAGAAAAGTTCTATTCAAAATCTGTTTTTATTATAATAAACACAGTTTGAAATTACCATTCTCCCAAAATACCTAAAGTCATTAATCTTCCATATAAATGTAAAACATGACCCCACTTATTTATGAAAGAGTCCTTTGGTTTCCCAGTGTATATATTTTTGTAAAACCGAGGTCACGCCCACTTCAGTCATCCACGCACCACTCCTTTGATTTCCGCCTTCTCTCTGCATCGCTTTGTCCACTTTGTGATGACTCACTTCATAGTCATTTTCAGGCATCACATTTCTACCTTCAGCCTCAATCTAAGCAAAAATATCTGTGGAAATAGTTTTGATGTAGCAGCTAGTTTTTTGAAATGTGTTAACTACTAACTTTCAAAAAAATGTTTTAAAAGAAGGTGCATGGTGTGTGCAATTTAGGAAACCCCTTTTCCCACTTGATTCCTTGTGAATATTTACTCTGGATGAGAGGTGATAACATTTAGTTTGATGACTTTTTAATTGTGAGGTTTTTTTAACTAAAAAAATTAATTAGGGTTGCCATTTAGAAACCCACCCCTCATTCATTGAAACTCCAATGAATATTTCAATACAAAATATTTTATGTTGATAATTTGTTGAAACAAAACCTAAATGTGATTGATTCTAAAGAACAGCCCTGAGGTACTATTACAGGACAGAAAGAGGGAAGTAGAGAGAATGGCTGACTTGCAACCAAGTCCACACAGTGGAATTTTCTGAAGAGCCAGGACCTGAGAGCCTTGGCCCCCCCTACTCCCAACCAAATACAGCATGAGAGAATCTTTAATGAAAAGTGTCTTTTTATTTTTTATTTTATTTTATTTTATTTTATTTTTTGACGGAGTCTCGCTTTGTCGCTCAGGCTGGAGTGCAGTGGCGCCATCTCGGCTCACTGCCAGCTCTGCCTCCCGGGTTCACGCCCTTCTCCTGCCTCAGCCTCCTGAGTAGCTGGGACTACAGGCGCCCACCAACACGCCTGGCTAATGTTTTGTATTTTTAGCAGAGACGGGGTTTCACCCTGTTAACCAGGATGGTCTCGATCTCCTGACCTCGTGATCCGCCCGCCTAGGCCTCCCAAAATCTTGGTATTACAGGCTTGAGTCACCGTGCCTGGCCAGTGAAAAGTGTCTTTTAAAGAAAGTGTTAAGAGTAGTACCCAGGGCACTGCCACCTTCCCGCCTCCCATGAACTACTCCTCTTGGGCTCTCTCCTGGGTGTCATTTAGTGACTCTGTGCCTTCCATCCTTTCTCTGTTCCATTCTCACCTCCTCTACCCTCAAAAGGCATTCTCTACTACTAAGTAGACTACCACAGTTTTCAAGGAAAGCGTCCCTACCTCCTCCTTCAATTAAGAGTTTCTCAAACAGTTCATTTCATCGATGGGCGACTCTTTTGAAAGACTCAGTTTTGTCTTCAACAGAAATCTTTTTCCTTCACAATTTCCCCCTTGGTTCTTGCTTCAGTTTGGGAGGAAAGAGAGGAGGCATAGGGAGTCCATGGAATTGATGCCTTTCTTTTGAGCTATTTTCCTATTGAATACAAGTATTCTGTGCCCCTGCATCTCCTCCAGGTGAAGTCTCTCCTTCAGGATTCTTCCAGGGGGCACGGTAATCAATGCTTCATCTACTTTCTGATCTCTTCTGAGTGCATTCTCATCTCATCAAGGGAACAACGCTTCCCTCATAATTGTTAAAAAAAAAATTGCTGCACTCATTGTCAAACGGGTTTTAGAAATGGATCAGTTTGAACATGCATGAGGTATGTAGTTTGTAATTTGCTTATGACAGCCTGGCTGTGAGTGACATGGAATCCGAGAGGCCAGCCCACCAGCTTCTGCTGCCCCTGCTTTGGGGAGACAGTCAGTCATCTAACAAGTTTTGTGAGAATGGCATTAACTAATTTCTGGGGAACTGCGACCATACTGAAAGCAAATGAAAATGCATTTATTTTTTCTGTAACCCCAAACATATGCTTTGGTGCTGCTAGAAAAAGAAGCCTCCTTGGCTTGCCAGTGGGGTGTTGGGGTGTGCACTCACCCAGCACATACTTCCCCATCTTTTACCACCTCAAAAAGGTAGGTGTACCTGCCTTTCTATACCATATTTCACTCAAACACCCCCAACACATACGTTACCATCATCTTTTATAACCTTAAAAAGGTAGGTGGCTTCTTTCCTTTAATGTTACATGGTCTGACTCAAAGCTTTAAGAGCCTCCAGGATGGATAACTAGAAGATCAACTCTCTCACTATCCAATAATTGGCAGTTCCACATTTTGTGGGAATATTCAGTTTGACATGCAGACACTTTTATCTGCCATACAAATTTGCAGTTTTCATAAACTGGAAGCGTTTCTGCGGCTGTGCTAATCCACAGAGGGATGCACGTTTTCAGAGCAATGGAGTTCAACCAGAGGCCAGTCTTTGAATATATGTGAGCAAGAAAGGGAAACAGGAGAAGAAGAAATCTTGCTCTTCCATTGGAGAGAAATAAAAATAGCTGTGATTGTTATCATTTTCAAATTGGTACTAGGAAAAGGAGACGTGATCCAAATACCAAGTGGTGCTGGTGGCTCCGGCAGGGCTCCGGGGGGCCAGTGCCAGGCCTTTGCAGAAGCAGGGGTAGCCACTGTCCCTCATAGCAGCAGCCAGAGCTCACAGGGCCTCCTGTGCACCGGAGGCCCCACCAGGGCATCTCTGCAGGTTTGCCTAGAAGGGAACCAGGAACCCAAGCATGCCTGCCAAATTGCAAGGGTTGTGCAGGTGGGCGGGGAAGTGTGAGCCTTTCCCCAGACCCGGGAAGTCTTAAATACCGTTTTTCCTACCAAAGAAAAAAAAAACCGGGCTTGTTGCTTAAGAAGACAACAATGGAACATCTGCCTTTTTGTTTCATTTCAGTCATTTGAGAATCTCAGCACAGCCCCCTTCTTTAATCATGACAGCTGGTATTTAGGGCTCACACAGCTTCTCTCATACCCAACATTCTGAAAGAATGAAAGACCTAAAACTGAAGCTTCCTTCCTTTCTCTAAGGGACCCTGTCTTTGTTTAGGGTCCATTACTCTGAAAGAAACAATACCCCTCCCCTTATAACATGCTACTTGGGGTGAGGTGGTTAGGATGCATAACATATCAAGATTTAGAGTGAAAATTAAAATATTTGGAGTTAAGTTTTCTAAAATTATTGGTAACATAATAGTAAATTGGAAAAAATACCTATGGCATAAGACAAAAATGGAACAAAAGTATTTGATGGCTGAGCCTTGATACAAACACTTGTCTCTTTCTCCTAGAGGCTTTTGTGGACACTCCCTCCTTGCAGAAAAAGCACTGTGGGTGCTGACCAAGCACATTATCTCCTGCTACAGCCCAGTACTGTGGCAAACACAGCTGGCCTTACAGGACACCTCAGACCATATCATTAGCCTTCTGTGCTTGAAATCTTTGTACCAAATGAGATTTTAATAAAAGAAAAATTAGAAGGCACTATTTTATCAAACTGAGTGATTTAAAATATGGATACATGCAAATTAGAATGTTTTAGAGGTAGAAAAATCCTCTCTCTTTATTTTCTATGTAACAAACCCGAGCCTCAAAGATGTCAGGAGACTCAATTAAGTTAGAGTTAGTACATGGTAGGGACTGCAATGAAAACGAATCAGGTCATCACCTTTTTTATTCTGTGTTTTTTATGCTCTCTCAGGGCTTCTGGAGTCCTGTGTTCAAAATCTCAAGTTATATTTCCTTAGAAAACACAGAGAAAGATAACTGATGTTAGCGCAGGATTGAATAGCAATACTTGTTAAAACAGCTCTCAAATGGAGAGGAAATCTCCCTGCCAGCCCAGCTTTTCCAAACTCACCAGGACACCAGGTGTTTGCTAGAGGAGGAGGGAGGTGAAGATCCCAGAAGTCATAGCCTGCATTGAATTTGCCAACCTTGTTCCCAATCCACATCATGCAACAGATCAATCATCATTTAGCTCGAGGTCCCCAGGTCCCCAAGGTGAGTTTTCCCTTCGTGGAAGGTAAAACATGGGGGGACCTTGGGGCAATTGAGTAGAGGCTGCACATAACATCCATCGCTCAGTCAGGAGCCCAGAGCATAGGCTCGGGAAGGTCTCCCAGCTTGGAGGTGCTCAGGATTTGGTTAGGACCTCTGGGAGCTGTGACATCTTGAGTCCAGGAGTCATAGCAATACAGGTGCTTGTAGAGAAACAGAAAAAACCAGATATAATTGGCCAAAGGAATTGTTCATTTGAGTGGATGAAACCGAAAAATGGTAGTTAAGAAACAAGTTAAGGAGAAGCCATGGGAAAGAGGCTGGAAGTCACAGGGAGAAATGCTGTTGCTGCTTCACACCAGATGGGAATTCTGCTGCTTTCTGTACCACTGGTTGCCGTCCATTCACGCAGGAAGGTAGCTACTGAGGAAATTGCCACCATATTGATTTGTCCATAGTTGAACACCAAAAACGAAGTTGTGTACAATGGTGGATTCAACTGGGTTGCCTACTGAAGGCTTTTGCCAAGTTCATTTCTAAAGACTTCTCTTTTTTTATTATTTAACATGAAGTTTTGCATCACATATATTCACAAACTTGCTAAAAAATATGTTATGGAATACAAACATGTCTGAATAAGACACACAAAATACAGTCTCTAAGTCTCTTCTAAAAAGAGACGTCTGTGTTACTGGCTTGGGTATAATATTGGAACTTATGTTTTCTTTTGTGTTAAATTCTAGTCTTCTAGCAAGACAGGAGTTAACTCTGCAATATTCCATATTGACTTTAAAATATTATATATTAAACTTGTGCTTTAATTACATTGGAAGTGTGAGATCCTATCAGAAGTTTAAATGTATGTGATCCAGCAACCCAAATTTTCATTTTGTTTTTATGATGGTTATAACCATCTGCATGTTCGTTCTCTTAACATTCATGATTTTCCTCGTCTGCCTGGGGAGTTAACACAACTAATATCAACTAACAGACCTCAACTAATTCCTAAGGAATTATTTTCTCATTATGCCAAAAAAGGCAAACAATCTGCCAGAAAATATGATATCATCTACACAAGACAGGGAAGTATAAAAAAAAAAAAAGAACCACTGGGGAGTGTGGCCCGGAGTCTGACTGTTCAGATGCTTGTGTTCACACTTGACATTGAGCCTGGCCATGATGTGGATCTATGCCCACTTCATCTTCAAGGGGAACTGCACTTGGAGCACGCCTTCAGCAGGGTTGTAAGTATTGGTACATTCTGTTTCCAATTCACCACGCTATGTTGGTGTACAAAGGGTCTCTTTGGTTAGATCATTGCTGCTGGGACACTTATTATAATGATCTTTCTTAAGGTTTGTACACTAATGAGTTTTCAAGCACATTATGTCTAGTACCAAGACTGAGAAGCGGAGCTCTGCACAGGCGGCCGTGCAAGCCCGGCTGGCCAGGCTCCAGAACAGTAAGGCTGAACACAGTCAATGCTGCCTAACAATGGCATGTTGTTCCTGCCGTCTTGACAGCTGCTGAAAGATTTTCTATTCTTATCCTGCTTTTAAACACTCACAGCATAATGAATTACGAACTCTCAATGTGGCAGTGATGTGTGAACTACCGTGGAGGCAGCGGTACGCTCAGCAACATCTGGATTACAGGTGTGAATATGGATGGTCGTATCCTTTCTTAATTAATGTCTAGAGAAAGGCATTCTGAGTGAAGTGCTTGCCCCAAAAACTTGAGTATGATAGAAAGGGAATCACATCTTGTGTTTAGAAACCAAAATCATGTAACCATTTGGCTTGCAGAAGAGAACAGAACAAAACACACATCCGAAAACTCAAGTAACATTTTTAAAAGACATTAAATGAAGGTATTTTTGTTGTTGACATCATATTCTCCCAGGTTGACATTACATCCGTTGACGGAGGTTGTCAAGTTTTTGTTCAAATGCCCAAATACGAAGGTGATTGAAAGCTGAGAGCTAAGAATCTTCTCCCTGGAAAATGCAGAGCACACACGTACATTCTGTGTGGAATTTCGGGTTGCGCAGAAACTCCGATTTTCCTGGTATCCAAATCCTGCTTTTATAGATATTAAAGAATCCATCAGACTTTAACTTAAAAAATGTTCACCTAAAAATCATGTATCTATAGAGCAAAAACTACAACCCTGGCAACCTGGATCCCAGTCCGGGGCTATTGATTTCATTATTGTAAAAGTTATGTGGAAAGTGGGATTTCAAGGAAGAGAGGAGGCACCCACAGGGGTCTACATGGGATGCACTTGCCTCAGAAAGGCTAAAGGACCATCCTTGTCTCTCTTAATGGGCTCATTTCCAAGAGAAATGAGGACTCAGCTCTGAAAACACAACTGGGCAATTCTCCTGATGGCAGCCTCATATGCAGTGATGATTCTTTCAGGGAAAATGATTCAGAAGTATTAGAAAATGTGCAGATAAATCTCAAGTGGTGAGAAAAGTTAGACCTCAGACATAGATGATTAAAATATTTCATACAACTTAAAATTTAAAGTCCATATAGCAGGCGACTTTACACCTATAGCTGCATGTTTTAATTTTTCTTCGGTTCAGAAATACTTTTGGAGATTTCTACAAGTACCTCTTCCTCATCTCTCATTCCTCCTTTAGGTTTAAATTCATTCAGCACTTTTTTAAAGATTTGTACTGTCTTTCAGAGCAAATGGATATGTGTTGACTCAGGAAGAATTACACCTATCATCTCAGCTACTCAGGAGGCTGAGGCAGGAGAATCACTTGAGCCTGGGAGATGGAGGTTGTAGTGAGCTGACATCATGCCACTGCACTCCAGTCTAGGCGACAGAATGAGACCCTTTCTCAAAAAAATAAAATAAAATAAAAAAGAATTACTCACCCTTTGTCCTTGGGAGACAAGATTAAAAGTTCCCTGGGAAATCCTGGGAGGTGTTCATCATGTAAACAAATTCTGCTGGCCTCCTTTCTGACATAGGTTGCCTCCTTAATTTCCTCTCCTAGCTGAATCCATTCTTTGTGAATTTCATTCTTATTCTTCCTAAAGTCTAGTTCTAGTCATGGTGCCCACTACCTATACTCAAAGTCTATAGTCATTTTAGATTCTCTAGCCAGTAAAGCCCAGTGCTTCTGTTGGTATTCAAGGCCCTTCACAGTATCATCCCACTTCAGCAGCATATGGATCAATATTTCAATCAAACTACACCATGCCTCAAAGAAATCAAGCCTCACAATACTTCCTCTTTTAGAATTAGTTTTCATTCCTCCTCCCTCCTATTATTGACTTTCAAAATGCTATTTAGCTTTCATTTATGTGCATGTATGTATAGGTAGATGTCTTGCACCTCCCTGCTCTGGGCAGATAATTTTTTTTTTTTTTTTTTTTTTTTTTTTTTTTTTTTAGAGACAGAATCTCACTCTGCACCCAGGCTGGAGTGCAGTGGCGTGATCTCTGCTCACTGCAACGTCTGCCTCCAAGGTTCAAGCGATCCTCCTGCCTCAGCCTCTGCACCACCATGCCTGGCTCATTTTTGTGTTTTTAGTAAAGATGCGGTTTTGCTATGTTGGCCAGGCCGGTCTGGAACTCCTGACGTCAGGTGATCCATCCGGTTCAGCCTCCTAAAGTTCTGGGATTACAGGTGTGAGCCACTGTGCCCAGCCTGATAATGTGTTTTAATGTGTTTGTTTTACTTGTGCATATATGTCCTATTGAACTTAACATAGAATCTTGAGCAGGTAGCTAGTGCTTAATTTATTCATGCATTACTATACCATTTAATCCCCATTACTATCATGTAAGGTTGGCATTGTTAGTAAAACTTCATAGGTGAAGAGGAGGATCAGTGAGATTAAGTTATTTTATCAAAGTGTGGTTTTCTGCAAGGGCAGGTTTGAAACCTGACCCTAGTTGTGCTCCAGGACCTAGGCGTGCTCACTCTACCTTGTCTTTGTGTTGAAAGGAGTGGTTTCCCATGACTGTTTAAGTGACAAGTGCCATGGATATCTACACCGTCACCAGACTAGATTGTCTCAATGTCCTTGGCTTGCGACTCCCTCCCACAGCCAAAAACTGTCATGTTAGGCCCATGTTTTATTACCGTATGGTTTCACAACATAAACTTTTAAATATTGTATAACTAATTTCCTCATAAAGAAACAATTATGGGCAAGTGCAGAATCAAATCACAGCGACTTCAGTAACAGAAGATCTTCTCTCCTGTGATTTGGTTTTCCAGCATCCTATATGCAATTCCAGAAATGCCATTTTACCTCTACTTTTACTTGATAATCCACCTTCATGAACACATACGAACAGTGGGAAAAGAAGAACTCATTGAATTTCAAGCATCCTTCAAGGAGACAGGAAAATAATGCATCCTTTGTTGTTCACGATCTATGACTTAGGCAATTGGAAAACGATAGTTGGCCTTCTCCTTTTTTCTTTTATCTCCTCTTTCTCCTTCCTTTAGTCCTTATTATTCTCCCTACTTCTTCATTGTGTTTGTATGTTTGCTAAATATTCAACAAAAATTCTTGTTTCTTTCTGCACTTTAGAGAACTCTTTCCCCTAAATAATGTAAGAATTACAATATATTGACTACTAAATGGTGCCAAGAAATTTACATACATTATTTATGATATTCACAATGATTCTGACAAGGTTTTATTATCCTTATTTTACTTCTATAAGGAAACTGAAATATCTGCTTTTTTTGTCACACTTACTAAACTGGCCAGTTTTCATTATCAATGTATTGTTTGAACTAGACCATGCAGTTGGGGTTAAAGAATCAAGTATGTCTTATTATATAGTTACGGTTTTGCAAAAGTATGTTGCTGCATTCAAAATTAGTATAATCACTTTAGCAAAACATTAAAACTTCAAGTTGGAAATGTCCAAAATTAGAACTATTAAAATGGGATCCTGACAACATAATGCTATTCTCTTTGAAATTTTCATAGATTCAAAAGGAATCAATATAGAAGCTGTCTCTCTCTACCTCGGGTACATATAAATTGCCCAAATTAGTAGCATTTAGTTGTTCTCACTTATTTATTTATTGAGACAGAGTATCTCTCTGTCACCCAGGCTGGAGTGCAGTGGCATGATCTTGGCTCACAGCAACCTCCACCGCCCAGGTTCAAGTGATTCTTATGCCTCAGCCTCCTGAGTAGCTGGAATCACAGATGTGTGCCACAACACTCAATTTTTTGTATTTTTAATAGAGATGCGTTTTCTGTGTTGGACAGGCTGGTCTTGAACTCCTGGACTCACGTGATCCGCCTGCCTCAGCCTTCCGAAGTGCTGACAAAGCACAGGTATGGGCTGTGTCCAGCCTAGTTTTTTCAAATATCATAAGGATATGATATAAAATGGCCAAAGCCTGGATAAAAGAAATATGAAAGGAAGTACAAGAGCATCTTTACTCCTCATTCTACAATTAAAAAAAGAAAAATAAACATGTGATTACAATTAATCATAAAGCAAACACTGTTGGTTTCCACATCTTCTCACTCTGTCATTACCTTGTCAGGTGAGGAAGCTGAAGTTCCAGGAAGTTAAGAAACTAATAGGTAGAAAACACACACAAAGCTCCTTCTTTCATTTGTTTTATATATATACACACACACACATACAGGTGCACACACACAACACACATACACATACACACGCATACGCACATGTATACACAGAGACACACACACCTGCACACACACACAGACGCACACACACACACATACACATAAACACACACACACACACACACACACACACACACACACACACACACTGCACTGAGTTTCAAGTTTCTCCTTTTCCAGCTCATCCCACCTCTCTACCTTGGCTTCATTCTGCTGAGCTGAGACTAGCCAAGTGCATGTTTCCTTTGCCCACGGGATTCCCACAGGGCTTTTCTGAGTGGCTCCCTGGAGGAGGCTGGCAGGCTGGCCAGGGTGGGATTTGCTCCCCGCCATCTGCCCCTGCAGTCGGGTTACTCCATGGCATCCACAGTCAGCTGCAGTCAGCAGGTTTTGCAGGATGCCAGGTCTGTCCTCCTGAAGCCTCTCGGAGTCACCAGCCTCAGCCAGCTCGCTCTTCCTCTTTGCGGGTGTCAGCTGCCAGGCCCTCTTCTGAGATCTGTGGCACTCAGAGTAGAGGGTTACAGACTCTCTCCTGAGTCCCACCTGCAAGCTCTCAAGTTTGAATCATGCAATCCTTCCCTTTCCTCATCCTGGGCTAGTAGCTTTTTCCCAAAGATAATCAGCCTGTCCCTTCTGCCTTCTTCTCCATCCTGGTTATATGTTGTTGATATTAAATTCTCCTGATTCAAAGCAAGAAAAAAAAAACAGTTTGTGTCCTAACCAGAAACTAACTAATAGATATGGGCAGAAAGCATCCTTTCACTTTTGTTCTGGGAGAGGGAAGAAGCAAAGGGAAGAAAGAGGTCTGGAATATGCTCTCATATTTGAGTGCCGGGCCAGCTTTTTGCAGGCTGTGCTAACTTCGGTAAGTCACATCGGTTGCCTGAGCCTCAGTTTCCTCATTGTGAAAAAAAGATATGGGATGCCCAGCTCAAGGAACCTTAGGCATATTCAACTCAATTAAATAACAAAATGTAAGCATTGGACCCTGCACACTGTTGGCACAAAGCAAGCCCTCAACAAATTAACTGACTCGGAAAGGTACTGCTTCTGTGTGAGTGAAAATCCCTACCTTTGCTTTGTCAGTGATGACCACTATAGTTACTCCCATGTGGAAATGGGTGGCTAGACACAGGACACACAGGCCAGAGACTGCACTGAGATAATGTGGACCCCGGAGAAGAGAGAAAAAGCTTTCCAGTGATGACAAGCAAAATGCTTCCATGTTTAACTGTTTGGAAAAGCAGGTTCATAGCTGTGACATAATGGTGAAATATGATTCTCTGATGAAAAACCTATAAAATCTCATTCTGACTGCCAGCTTTAGGATACATTTTATCATGTTTGCGGTTGGTGATTTACTAGCTATGAAAGTATCTTTGTGTAATGTAAAAATTATACTTGCACTATCGCTCCACCCAAACTATGGAAAACAGTGTTCATGACACGCTGGGAGCGTGTGGACAGCAGCAGAATATGAAAGAGAGAGATGAGGCATCCAGTATACTGTGAACAGGAGTCCTTTTCCTAAGTGCAAACATTCAAGGAGGGTCACAGCTGAGATCATTCCAGGGGTATCTACCGCATGCCTGCCACATGTCAGGATGTGCAGGGGCCCATAGCGACGATGGTGGCCTTAGTCACTTTGTCACCTTTGCAAGCCTCCCCATTCATCACTTCTAGGTCCTTCTAGAGCAGAGTTTCAGACACTTATGAAGTGTGGAATCTAGACTGGGGCGCTTCTTTGACATCTCAGTTTGATCTATAGATTTTCACTCCACTAGGCTGTAGAAACATCCCCAGTTTTTTCAAATGCATTGAGTGCTGTTAACCATTGTAGAGGATCAGACTGTTAAATTAGGAGGTAGATGCAATGTGTAAATAGTTTAAAGGCAGCCTGATTGCATAGGTAATTTAAAAATTAATAGGTTTTTAGTCCAAATAAATGAGTAAATTTATTAATAACTTTGAAATAAAACTTATTGGTAGAAAGTATGTATTGCTTTTATGTATTTCACCTCCTTCCAAGTTGATTTGGAGGTAGCAGATATAAAAATATCTCTCCACAAACTATCCACTAATAGAAAAGAGAATCATTGCATTTTAGGGCAGGCATAGAATTTTATAAGTACCATAAACTCATTTTGCAAATGAAAAGAGGAAGACCACAAACATCTGACCTTGGCTGGAGTATAACTGTTATGATTACTTGAAAACCACCACTGCCAGGGCTGAAACCTTTTAAGTTACTCATCTTTATGTAGCAGGATAAGGAAATTTGTTATTTGATAGTATTCATAAAGAGGGTAATAAATATAATGAACCCAAAGGTTACTATTTCTTTTTGTTTCATGTTTGGTTTTGGTTTTGGTTTGCTTGTATGTTTTAAATGTTCAGCTGATACCTGGGACCCCCATCCTAGCAAGGGCTGCTCCTGGTGAGTTCTCCATCTGGGAAGTTGTTGCCTACAAAGGTGCTGCTGGATTTCTCAGGTGGAGGGAAGAAGCGGATCCAGGGTTGTTCTGAGTACAACCACATTCAACCTGAGTGGGAAAGCGAGAGATGCCAGGGACGCAGGCAGAGAGGAGGGCTATGAGGTGATAAAAAAGAACAAGCACAGCCCTTGAACAGTTGAGCTTGCAGAACACTGCCCTGCTGTGTGCTGTGGATCCCAATCCTAAGAATAGTAAGTGTCCAAGTTCATGTCTTCACATTTGCAGAGAGATTCTGTGTTCATTACAGGACTCAGTCTGTCTGAGCTGCTATAACCAGCACACCATAGGCTGGGTGGCTTAGATAACAAACATCTATTTTCTCTCAGTTCTGGAGGCTGGAAGTCCAAGGCCAAGGTGCTGGCACATCTGGAGTCTATTGATGGCCTGGCCCCCTTCTGATTCATGCATGGAGCCTTCTGGATACACCCTCACATGGCCGAGAGGAGAAACAGGAGCTCATAAGAGCTCTCATCCCATCCATCAGTTCCACCCTCATGACCGATAACCTCCCAAAGTCCCCACCTTCTAATACCATCAAATCGGGGGTTAGGATTTCAAGGCACCAACACGGGGGAACACGAACACTCAGTCCCTAACATGACAGGTCACACAGTTGTATTTTCAGCCCAATGACAATTTATACGATGGTTTCACCACCAAGGCCCAAACACAAACTCAGAATGCTGAAAGTACAAACACAGATGTAACTCCATAACATTTTTTAGAGAAGACGACCCATGGATTGAATGGTTCATTACCATACCCTTTCCCAAATTTTTAGCTTTCTATCAGAGAGCAATTCTCAATGGAGAAAGCAGCATTGCATTGGGGCAATTCTCCACTCAAAGGGAAAATGGAATTCCACCAGTGTTAGCTACCAAAGGGGGAACCTATGGCTTGGGAATCATATATCCTTCTTCCTTTACCTTCACACGTTTCCTAAATGCAGAATCGACTAAATAGATGCATCAAGGGGTTCTAGTAAAAAGGTGGATATCTGGTTAGCTTTTAGGTCATTCTAGTAACAATTTAAACCACAGGCCCTATATCTTCTGAGACTCAGAATCGTCTGTGGCTTTTTCCACTTATACTATGGGTAACCCAGGAAGAAGAATAAAATAAAGGCTATAAAAGGAAACCTTTCCAGTGGGCTTGGTTCTTTGATACTTTATTTATTGATCTACACTATCAAGATTCTCCACATATATAGCTCTCTTTCTGAGCACCCCTAAACAAAGGCTGCCCATCCTAACTGAAATGTTTCTCATCTTTGCCTGACACTTCTTTCTTTCTTCTTCATTTCTGAAAATTCAAATGTGAGTGCCACTGAGCTTTTGCGGTTAATAATTAAATTACTTGAAATATAAATGAGAAACAATGCAGAGAAAACAACAAAAACAATTTTTTTTTTGAGATGGAATCTCCTTCTGTCTACCAGGCTGGAGTGCAGTGGCATGATCTCGCCTCACTGCAACCTCTGCCTCCTGGGTTTACACTATTCTCCTGCCTCAGCCTCCTGAGTAGCTGGGACTACAGGTGCCCACCACCACGCCTGGCTAATTTTTTTGTATTTTTAGTAGAGACGGGGTTTCACCACTGTGTTAGCCAGGATAGTCTCGATCTCCTGATCTTGTGATCTGCCCGCCTCGGCCTCCCAAAGTGCTGGGATTACAGGCATGAGCCACTGCACCTGGCCAAAAACATAAATTTTATACACATCTTACTCTTATGAATTCATTGGCTTTTTCCTTTGAAAAAAAAATTACCTTAAGTGTAAGGATTTCTGCCTGTCTCATAGTGGCTGGCAGAACGTTATCTGGTTACCATCCATAAATGAAGTCGTCTTTCCCGCACAGGTAGGATTTCATAGCACCCCTTGTATGGTAGGGCTATAGGGCTCATCTTGAAACTGATGGCCCCTGCCTAACCAGGGCTGCCCTTGTACACATCATCTGTATTAGTCTGTTCTTACTCTGCTAATAAAGACATACCTAAGACTGGGTAATTTATAAATGAAAGAGGTTTAATTCACTCACAGTTCCACATGGCTGATGAGGCCTCACAATCATGGCGGAAGGTGAATAAGGAGCAAAGTCACATCTTACACGGCAGCAGGCAAAAGAGATTGTGTAGGGAAACTCCCCTTTTTAAAAACATCAGATCTCATGAGAATTATTCACTATCATGGGAAAAGCACCGGAAAAGGCCAGCCCCCATGATCTAATTACCTCCCACTGGGCTATTCCTACAACAGGTGGCAATTATGGGAGCTACAATTCAAGATGAGATTTGGGTGGGGACACAGCCATCTCCCAAAATTTGCCATGAAGATTAAAGTCTATGAAGAGTTACTGTCTTTGAGATATGGTGCTCTTCAAACCTATGTTCTGGAACTATATCTGCAAATTCTGGCAAGTTTTTCTCACCTTGAATTCACCATCTATATTCCGCATAAAAGAGGTCTGTCTTCTCTCCTACTATTTTCCAAATGAAAAGTGGTTGTAATCACGTTTCCTAAGGCCCCTGGCTTAATGACTCACAGGATATGTCATTCGGGCAAGGGTGCAATCCCAGTATTAGAACACTGAGTTCTAGTCTCCTGGTATTTGGGGACCAACAGATGATATCTATAACCTTTGTTTTTCCATTTGTATAATTTATTTCAAAACATAAGTAATGAGCATGATCTCTTACAGGCATTGCTAAGTGTTAGTAATACAGAGGAAAAAAAGAGCTTATAGGTTAATTTAGAAAAATAAGTAAGTTTTGCGCATCTTTCATGTAATTAACACTATGTGGGATGCTATTTTGTAGATGTTGTCTTCATCCTTTTTCCAGCTTTGCAAACCAATTCATAGAGGTTAGGTAATTTATCCAAGGTCCTAAACTACCTATTAATAATTGATAGAGTCTGAGTCTGCACCCAGTTTTGCCTGGACACAAAAAATTGCCATTTCCATGAAGCCATGCTCTAAAATGAGATCTCTTCCAGTACACATATTAACAACCCTGGCTTTAAGCAAGACCTTTTCTATCTCTTCAGATACTAGCAAAGTTGGATGTTGGATGTAAAATTTCCAATTTTGTCTAGTACCAGTATTGTACTTCTCAGGTTAGTGAAAAAACTAATAGCTACAGATATTAAATCATGATGATTACGAAGATGCTTTGCAATCTATAAAAGTTACTACAGATTGATCCTGTTAAAATCCCTATTATTTCTGTTGCACCAGGAAAGGATAAACAAAATTGCTTTTTGCTAGAGACAGAAGATTATATTCTCATCTAAGGGTGAATACAGTCGCAGCTGGGCCTTTATAATTGTGACTCATTTAAAATGCCTCGTTATTAAAACTGGATTGTTTTGGATTGCGACTTTATTCAATTGAGACAATTATGTGTTCTGTGTGATTCAAATCAATGATTTCAGGCAGCAGTTGATTATTTCAGCTTAATTTGTTGTGCCTTTTGCGTTTTTAGACAGGCATTGGATATCAAATTCTGAAATTAGATTTTAATTTCCTTTTGTGGGAATTTCACATGTATATTGCATTAGCTTTCATAAATGTCATGATGCTTTTCTCCCTATGCGAGTTCATGCATAAGCTCAGAAAATATCGATCCACAGAAGCACAGATTCACAGACTGTATGCAGGAGCACACAAGTCTCCCGTAAAGTGAAGCTGCCACTGTGGCTTTGGGACAATTGAGTATACTCATTGTGTCTACTGTCCCAGCTCCAGGATACTTTGATGAAGAAATTTCATCCTTCTGTAGGTTTTCTCTTTTCTATGCTTTCTAGGAGGAATTATTTAGAAATCAGTGGAAGCTCCAGGAAATGCTACCATAACGATGAAGCAACTGTATGACTCAGCAGGTGGAAATGTCCCAAGCCCTTCTCTCCAAGGGTTGATGGCAATCCATGGTGCACACTGATGATGAAATGTGTTCCCGTAAACAAGTCTTTCCTCTAACTTATTAAGACGCCTGCAGCCTTAAGTGAGTCTTGTGGAGGCAGACAGGTCCCCACAGTATCATTTGTTTTAGAGGCAATTTGGACTCTCAACTCATAATTTGTTCCCAGCCACGCCCTGGGGGTGGCAATGAAATTGTCATGTTCTTGTGCAAAATTATGATTTTTACTTTTGGAAATATGTAAAATTACAAGAATATAAAACTCACCACTAGTGGCTGGGGCCAGCTATACTTAATAATCTGTGGTGGGTTTATCTGATAACGGCAAAAAATAGTGTGGTGGGAGGAAGAAGCATGGAGGAGGAGCATAGATCAGGTGTGGTGCATAAATTACTAAATATTCATATGTAACAATTATCAGCTTTGTTTCAAGGGGATGCAACTGAAGTCATGGAGGTATCCTACAGATAATAATCAACTTAATTGGAATTTGAATCAATATATGTCTGACTCCCAAATCCATACACAGGTTGACTCCTAAATTTCGAAAGAGTAAGTACCTATCTTAAATGATATGCAAGATATATCAAATTTTTAAGGGGATTTAGATATTGTGACCTCTAAATGCTCTTTTCAACTTAAAGCATATGTGATTTCATGGTTGATTGAGCCTACCCTGGGAGATGAAAACTGATGTAAGAGAGATATTAAGAAAGCACTGAGACTTAAAACAAAACACACTATTCCTGTTTTGTAAAATTTCATATTAAGACCAAGAAGGTCCCATAGAGATGACTCGCTGCCCTAGGGAATCATGCAACCTAGATCAGAAACGAATATGACTGTGCCTTCCAAACTAGAAATCTGAGTTCTCTGTAATAGAGAAGTGGCTCATCCACCAAAAATAAATAATTGTGTCAAAACAAGAAATGTCTGACTGTTTAAATATGGTTAAAGAAGAATCACCTAATATATGCTGAAAATCAGTAATTCTCATGGGCATCCTACCAATTTCAATAATGTGAGCTTTATAGCAACATCGAGACCAGGAAATAGATGGTCTAAATAAATACACAATCTCAAAAACAGAAATCCTACCTTGTGTGGGTTTTCCTTTACAGACCTCCATGGATTACAAAGGAATCTTCTTCATGGGAAGAGAATGATGGTACTTTAACTTGGGGTGGGAGTGGTTGCAGTATGGAATTATAGTTCAATTCTGTTTCAATTGTAAAATAGTGGTGTTACAGCTTGAAATTTGAGATCTCCTGGGAATTTGTCAACGCTCTGTGAAAGATCCGACTATTTTACAGCTCACAAGAATTTTTTATTTGTTGATGACATTCTCAATCTAGAGAGTCAATAAAATGCTGAATGAGGAGGGAGCCTGCCCACTTAATTGTCACTGGGGTTTAATTCATTTTATTTTGCCTGCTCTTGCCCAGAAAACTTCCCAGGAAAACTAATAACTTTTTGGATGATGTAACAGATCAGAAAACATCTCTTACACTCTCACATCCATCTTGCCTGTGTTCCGCCCCCTCTTCCACCATTCATATTCCGTTCCTTATACTTCTTTAGACATTCACAGCTGCCAGAGATTTAGTTTCACAGTACTGTGCATCATACCAATTTCCTGGAGCAGGGTAGGGAAAGACCACAGGACTTTCTTCATAAATTATAGGATTATTTTAAACCTTATACTCTGATATTTAAAGCTCCACAAAAATAATATCATGCTAACCTGTCTAGCTTTCATTTTTCACCACCCCTTCATGTGTATCTTCGCAGAACACAAACGGGCATAGTCTCCCCTTCCTCTATGGTTTCAGATAACATCTATGTTATTATGACTTCCAAATCATGAATCTAGATTGTTCTTTTGTTCCGTACGCATATATAGCATTGTACAGACTGATGTAGACATTTGCAAAACAATATAGTTTAAAATACTTATAATTTTGTACCCAAACATGCTCCTCTTCCTATGTTGTCCATTTTTACTAAAAATGCAAACATCAATCGATTAGTCCAAGCCAAAAAATCAACTGTCAAAGTCCCCTCCTTTTTTCCATTCATGAGCATACATGCCCTCTGTCCTGATGTTCCACAGATTTTCTCTCTCTCCATTGTCTTTACTGGGCTGTGTCCCCACTATGCTACCTTTCTCCTGCCAACATTCTCATCCTGCAACCCAGGCACATAGAAGGCTTCTTAATTGGCCTACAATCCCATCCACCATAGTTCCAGCTATTTCACCCTCCCTCAGAGCAAAGTTTTCCAAAATGCAAACCTGATCTTGACATTAAAATATGGCCTACATATCTTAATGAGATTTGATCTAGAAGCTCAGTCAATTTTTCCTCACCACCTGTTACAAACTTGTAAGCTCCAGTTATTGTGAACTTCTTCAAATTCAGGAACACATCCTTAATTTTTTGAGACTAGGCCTTTATACAATTTTCCCCTTTGCCTGGAAAATCCTCCCCGCCGCCAACCTCGGTAATTCCCAGCTGCCCTTAAAACTTCTCTTTAGGTATAATTTCTGCCAAGATTTATGATGACACTATGGCTAGACCAAATACCCCCTCTTATATTTTTTTTTTCAGAGCCTCTGCTCCTATCATAACACTTATGCACTATTCAAATGCTTGTTGCTTTCCCCACTGGAAAATAAACTCTCCAGGGACAGAGATTTAAGGTTTGTTCACTGTTGTAGCCTTACCATATAGTGTAGTACCTGAAATACAGAAAAGATTCAATATATTATTTTTTGAATTGAGTAAAATATTTATTTCTTCTGAAACCTCATACCTGCAAATCATTTTTTTTTCCTGTGACTGTGTAATGTTATCTTCATTTAATGATTTTACCCAATCCCAGATCCCAAGAAATGTCAATAATGTAGGTTACTTTTATCCGGCTCTCAGAAGTCCTCCCTGAAAATACCAGTTCACAGTAATCATTCTCTTCTTTAAAAATACTTAGAACCTATTATTTCTTTTTCAAAAACATTTTTGCCTCTCAATACATGACCTTTCTGTTTCTCCTTCTCCCTACCACAAAATGTTCATGATCTTCTATAAGGGAATGTCATGTTTTTCATCCCACATGGAAAATACTATGGTTTGAATTTGTCTCCTAAATCTTATGTATTGGAAACTTAATCCCTAAATTCATGTTGATGATATTTGGAGGTGGGGCCTTTAGGAGGTGATTAGATCCTGAGGGCTCTTCCCCGTGAGTGGATCAAGGCCATTATCACAGAATTGAGCTAGTTATAAAAGGAGGGAGTTTGGCCCCCATTTCCTCTCCGTCTCTTGTGCTCACATCCATCTTAGGATGATACTCACTGGATGCTTTTAGCCTCTGGAACTGTGCACCAAATAAAATTCTATTCTCCCTAAGTTACCCAGCTGGAGATATTCTGTTATAGTAACAGAAAATGAACTAAGACAAAAATTAAAGAATATTTGCTAATTGATCAAATGGCTCTAAATGACATAGTATTTTTTCAGAATTAGAAATACTAATATAATACCCTTTCTCGTTATTCAGAACATTGACATACCACAGCAACCAGAAGTCACTAGTATTTTATGTCTTTATGTCCTTGCTTATTTGCCTGTTGATTTCCCATTTGTAAGCAATTCAAAGTCCACTGCATGATGACAACTGTACCCCAAAACAAGTAGACCTATTTGATCAATTAATTAGAATGTATTTTGAAAAATCAGCTTAACGTTGATTCTTGAAGATGATTCCAAGTAGCAACTTGGACTAGGAAAACTGAATACAATGCCCAGGAGCCCCCGTGGCAGTACAGATGCAAAGTCTGCAACTCAATTTTACTATTCCTTGAACTACAGTACTACATGGGTGGTGCCAAGCAACCGGAATCCTTGAGCAATTTAGGCAATCTGATCAAGCAATCTGATATTGGAAGACATCCTACACAGATTGCAATAAAAAGTAAGTTCTACTTGGTTCTAAACAAGGTAATTCTTAATTTAATTCCTGATCCTACTTTCTATGTTAACATGTTTCATGAAAATCCAATTTTTTGACCATGGTATGAATGAATTTAATTCAGTAAAGAAACATGCATTAAGTTGCTACTTAGGCTGAGTGAATGTAATAGAGAGAAAGCAATTATATTTCTCATTGCCAACTCATTATCTCTACTCACATGTTTCTCAGGCATCTAAACTCAATGTGTCTAAATCAGACCTTAACATCACCCCAGCATGTACCCTGCCCACACACACAGTCAGCCTTCATCTTCCTCTAATGATTGCCATTCCAATAGTCAGCACCCATGGATAATAATTAGGAGTTGGACTTAGGTTTGGATAACAAAGCTGATGGATATTTGTTTAGAAATTATTTTTTCAAAGCTAATTATAATAGTCTATGAAATTATTTCATGCTTTACCTACAATGCACAATAAAAGCCTTCCTGAGTCTATTTTAATTTGCATTTTTCAGAACCACCTTTTCCAACAAAATGATAGCATTCTGAGGACATTTTGTCATAAGAGTCATTGTATGTATTTGTTTTATATTCATAATATGTATCAATAATAATTTCTGTCATTGTACATTTCATGATTTGGGTCATTATTTCTATTAAGTGTACTTCTGGGATTTTTTTCAGTCAAATTGTGCTTCAGAATATCATCATAAGCAGTTTTAGCAGCTGCCAAGAGTATTTTGTGTCAATTTTTTCAACTAATTAATATGCACAATGACTGTTTCAAATGATTGTTTCCATCACTTTATTAACAAAACCATAAGAAAATTGATATCAAGACCCCTCAGTTAGCCCAAAAGTGTTTCATTGTCCTGGACTGGTTTACCCTATGCCAATCGCATTCTTCCATAATGCCCATGCATTTGGCATTGCAGTGGCATCCCCTGATGCCATTGCTAGCACAAGGAATCAAGTCCTGGAGCAGAGAGCCCTTCGGGTGAAAATAAATGCTAATCCATAGTATCTTTCTCTGAGTAGGAATACACAGAGGGGCACGTGAAAAAATTGCAAAGACTGTATTCCACATCTACTGCAACCATTAAGGTGAAGAAACCGCAAAGCTTTACTCTGAAAATTTCTAAAATGTCACAGAGTCAAAAATATGTACTTACTAATTATTTATGCTAAACATTTCAAAGGCAAAATTTCATTATTTAAAAATTGATTTAGCTGGGTACAGTGGCTTATGCCTGTAGTTCCAGCAACTTGAGGCTGAGACGAGAGGATGGCTTGAGGCCAGGAGTTCAAGGCTGCAAACAGCTATGATGACTTCACTGCACTTCAGCCTGGGTGTCAGAGTGAGACCCTATATCTAAAATAAATAAATATTAATTTATAAATATTTAGGTGCAATATGAGCCTGGTATGTTGAAGGAAAGCAATTCATGAAATAAAATATCAACACTGCTTTGTCTCCTAATGTTCCTTTAAAATGCTTTATCCGCTACTAGTTGAAAATATTAAGAGATCCTATGCCATTTATCTTCATCTTTAATTAATAGATAGTGCTTTTAATATTATATTAAAAATATAATATTATCTCAGAACCAAGAAAGAGATAATCCAAAAATCATTATCCTTAAGTTATCTAACAAAATAAGTGCAAGACCTGTACATTTTAAGTTATAAAACAATGATAAAAGAAATAAAAAATCATCTAAAAAATAAAGCAACTAAGTATTATTATAGGTTGAATGACTCAGTCCAGGTCAGATGTCAATTCTCCCAAAATTGAAGTACAAACCCAATATGGTCCCAATGGAACAGGATAGAATCTAGAAATAGACGCATACTTATATGGTTAATTAAATTTTTACCAAGATGCAAATGAAATTCAATGGAGAAAATAATATTTTCCAGAGATGATGCTGAAACAATTGGACATTAATAAAACAATAACAAAAACCAAAAATCTGGGTACATACTTTTATAATCTAAATAAAAATTTCAAACTAGTCCATAAAATTAAACTTAAAACCTAAAACTGGAAATTTTCAGAAGATAAAATAAAAGAAAATCTTCATAATATTGCATTAGAAAATTTTTTCACTGTAACATGAAATACGCAATCACTAAAAGTAAAAATGACAAACACAATATCCTCACAATTAAAAAACACTGCCCTTTGAAAGATCCTGTTAAGAAAAGAAAAAGACAAATGACAGGCTATGACACATTTGCAAGAAATATGTGCTAAAGGACGTGCATCCAGAATATATAAATAATTCTCAAAATTCAATAATAGGAAAACACAAAATGCAATTAAATTTTGGCTAATAATTTAAACAGATGCTTTACAAACGAAAATACACAGATGGCATATAAGCATTTAAAAGGATGCCTAACTTCATTATTCATCAGGAAATTAAAAACTAAAACCACAATGAGATATCACTATACACCTGTTAAAAAAGCGAAAATTAAAAAAATAATAATAAATGAAAAAGAAAGAAATACACGGGATGATACTAACTCCTGATTGAAACTCTCATTTATTGCTGGTGGGAATAGATAATGTTAAAGCCACTCTGGAAAACATCTTGGCAGGTCCTTAGAAAATTAAACATACACCTACCATTTTGACCCAAGGAGACCACTTTCAAGTGGTATGCAAGAGAAATTAAATTGTAACAAAACCTACACATGAATGTTTTCTGGCCACCTTATCCATAATTCAAAAATACTGGAAACATCCAAAATGCTCTGTGGCTGGTTATTAGATAAACAGTGGCACATTTGTAGAATGTGACATCTCTTATTAATAACAAGGAACAAACTACCCAATACTCTTAACAAAATGTATGAATATCTAATGCAGGATTTGAAGTGAAAAGGCCAGACTCAAAAAGGCTACAGATTGTATGATTCCATGTGTACAACTTTGTGGAGAAAACAAAACTGCAGGGACTGGAAATAGAGGAGAATTTGCCAGGGGCTGGAGGTGGGGATGATTTTCCTACAAAAGGGTGGGGGCAGTTTTGGAGGGTGTTGGGATTGTTCTATGTCTTCATCTAGGCAGTGGTTACACATCTTTCTGTATTTGTCAAAACTCATAGAACAGTACAATAAACATAGTGAATTTTATTATAAGGGGACTTTACCACAAGAAAACTGATGTTTATATGTATAAATATATATATGTATATATATATATGTATATATAAATATATGTATATGTGTATATATATGTGTATATATAAATACATGTATATGTGTATATATATGTGTATATATGTATATATAAATATATGTGTATATACATATAAATATATATGTGTGTATATATATATAGTATTTTAATTATGTGAGGGAGGCTGTATTACTCCATTTTCACACTGCTGCTAAAGACATACCTGAGACAAGGTAATTTATAAAGAAAAGGAGTTTTAATGGACTCACAGTTCCACGTGGCTGGGAGGCCTTACAATCATGGCAGAAAGTGAAAGACATCTCTTACACGGTGGCAGGCAAGAAAGAGTGAGAACGAAGTGAAAAGGGAAACCTCTTATAAAACCATCAGATCTCTTGAGACTTATTCACTACCAGGAGAACAGTGTGGGGAAAACCGTCTTCATGATTCAATTATCTCCAATTATGTCCCTTCCACAACATGTGTCAGGGGAGCTCCAATTCAAGATGAGATTTGGGTAGGGACACAGCCAAATCATATCAGAAGCAATACTCTGATGTTGCAGAAAGATACAGCAGGCATATTTGGCTCCATAAATGTGCATATATTTACATGTAATAGGAAAAGAATATTGAAGGAAATAAAGTATTTCCACAAATCTCAGAGAAAATGTTTCCGTGAACTCAGAGGATTCGGATAAAATCTTGAAAGAATATAGTTATATTTTCCTATCTCATTTGCTAAGGCAAAAATAGAAAGCCTAATAGAAAAAAAAGAATAGAAAAGGCAAATAGAAAAGCAATTTAAAAATGGAAAAAAATCCACATGTGGCCAGAAAGAAACGATTATTCTATAAAGTGCCTAATCCAATTGAATTCATAGTATACAGTTGACTGCTGAACAATAGGAGCTTGGATTGCACGGGTTCACGTATACATGGATTTTCTTCTGCCCCTGCCACCCCTGAGACAACAAGACCAACTTCTCCTTTCCTTTTTCTCCTCTGCCTACTCAACATGAAGTTTTGATGATCCACTTTTACCTAATAAACAGTAAATATATTTTCTCTTCCTTATGATTCTCTTAGTAACATTTATTTTTCTCTAGCTTACTTTAAGAACATGGTATATGACACATGTAACATAAAAAGTATGGATTAATAGACTGTTTATGTTATTGGCAAAGTGACCAGTCAACAGTAAGCTATTCGTAAGTTAATTTGGGGTAGTAAAATATTACACTCAGATTTTTGACTGTGAGGTCTATGCCACAAACCCTCGTTGTTCAAAGGACAACTGTGTCCTTTGAACAACATTACACAGGAAAATTAATAAACAAATGAATTGTAATTAATTGTATATGAAAGCAGAATTTTTTGACAAAAAGGGGTTCTGTGGTACTTGAAATTATGAGCTTGGACTAATACCCAGCTTTGGGGAAGCTACACATGTATAAGAGTATTCCTGTTTAAAGTACACTAGACATTTATTACATCGTCTCTGGGAAATGTGTTAGTTTTGTAGGTAGGGCTGTTGCAAACAAATCCCCTAACAGGGAGGCTTAAACAACAGAAGCGATTCTATCACAGTTCTGAGGCCGGAAGTCTGAGACCCAGGTTGGTTCCTTCTGAGGGCTAAGGTAGGGACCTGTTCCAGGCCTTCCTCCTCGGCTTGCAGATGGTGTCTCCTCCTTGTGTCTTCGCACTGTCTCTCCTCTGTGTGTCTGTGTCCACATTTCTTCTTTATAGAAGGATACAGTTCTATTGGACTAGGATCCATGCTCGTGACCACATCCTAACAGGATCTTTTCAAAGACTCTCTCTCCAAATGAGTCTCATTGGGAGGTACTGGGGGTTAGGACCTCAGCATATGAATTGTGGAGACACAGTCAATCTACAACAGGGGACTTCCTGCACAGCTGAAACTAACAAGTGGAAGGTCTGAGCTGAAAGCAGAAAGTGTGTGTGTATGTGTGTGTGTGTACATTTGGGGTGTGTGGTGGTGTGTGTGGTGTGTATGTGTATATTTATGGGATGTATGAGGGGCTGTGTATGAGGTGTGCACTTGTTACGTATTTATGTGTATGTGTGTATTCTGTGTGCCATAGGTATATGTGTATCTGTACAGTATGTCATCTGTGTAAACATGTACATTTAGGTTGTGTGTCTTTTGTGTATGTGTCAGTGTAGTGTGTGTCATCTATGTGAGTGTATGAATGTAGGGCATGTCTGTGTGATGTGTGCCATGTGTATCTGTGTATGGTGTGTGTCATCTGTGTGCATGTATGTCTGTAGGGTGTGTATGTGTATATGTCATGTGTGTGTCTGTGTGTGATGTAAGTATGTGCCATCGGTGTACACATACGTATTTCGGGTGTGTGTGGCATATGTCATCTGTGTGAGTGTATGTAGGTAGGGAATGTCTGTGTGATGTGTGTTATGGGTATCTGTGTATGGTGTGTGTGTGTCATCTCTATGTGCATATATTTCTGTAGGGTGTGTGTGGTGTGTGTCATGTGTATGTATCTGTGTGTGGTGTTTGTGTGTGTCATCCATGCACATATTTGTATTTTGGTTGTGTGTGGCATGTGGCATGTATGTGTGTGTGCTGTATGTGGTGTGTGTATCATATGTATGCAGGGTATATCTGTGTGGCACGTGTCATGTGTATAAATTATGCAATCATGTTTCTCTAATTGGGGTGTTTACAATCTAGTTGAAGAAAGATATTCAGATGGGAAAAAGTAACCAATAGTAAAAATCAGCATGGGCCTGGCGCAGTGGCTCACGCCTGTAATCCTAGCACTTGGGAGGCCACGGCCGGTGGATCACCTGAGGTCAGGAGTTCGAGACCAGCCTGGCTAACATGGTGAAACCCTGTCTCTAATAAAAAATACAAAAATCAGCCGATGTGGTGGCACATGCCCGTAGTCTCAGCTACTCAGGAGGCTGAGGCATGAGAATTACTTCAATCCAGGAGGCAGAGGTTTGCAGTGAGCTGAGATCACACCACTTTAGTCCAGACTGGGCAACAAAGCAAGATTCCATCTCAAAAAAAAAAAAAAAAAGGAAAAAAAAAAGAAAAAAAGTCGGCATGGGAAAATGCCAGGCATTCTAAGAATAAACACATAATTTAGTGAAATAAAATAACTTTCAAATGGAGCAGTGACACAGGGTTTATAAAATATATAAAATTAAAGCCAGGCCTTATTAGAAATGTCAATAGGATTTAGATAGGGATGAAATGAGAAAAAATAAAAACAGGAGTTTGAATTGAGGTGAAAGGCTTAATTCCTCTCGTTCTCAGCAACTGTGACAGAGACGTCTCCCTTCCCTCCAAAGTCATGGCGTGGCTGCTGAGTGGCTGTGGCCAGCAGACTCTGTGCCCCACCTGCCAACACTGGGCATTCCTTCCATATACTTTCCTTTTTTTGAGACCTGAAACATGGAAACACAGAAATGCTGCACTTCCAGCTCTGATAACATGAGGAGGGAAAAGAAAGGGGTTCTTCTGTGACCATGTAGGAAGCCACTTTTGTGCCCAAATGGCCTAGAGAATAGACAGCCACCAACTGCAATGTGCTCCATGGGGTTTCTGCTCTATCGGAGCCACGCTTAGGGGCCTCACCGTTACCGCTGCTCGGCCCTTACTCCTAGGGCGTGTGGTCTGTGTATTAGGATGATGCGTGGCTCTTAGAAGAAAGCACACGTGGAAGTGCTTTAAAAATCACAAGGCAATTTTTTAAAGGTGACCCGTGGCACATAGAAGGGTAACATCAACCATTGATAGCCTGATCGAGTACAGGGATTGAAAAATAAGGATAAATGCCAATCCCCCTGGAATGTGGATATAGAGCCTAAATATGCATGAAGAAAATAAAATCTTAGTAATCATATAATAATAATGCCTCATTCAATTTAGAAAGCCATATTTTTATCAGTTCATTCGTATACATCTTAAGTAGGTTTAACAGGTGATTCTGCTTAAAAGGTAAGCAAACTGAAACACTGAACAATGAGGAAAACTGTCCTCTATTTGTGGTTAACAATTTGTGGCAGAACTGATAAAAGTACCCGAATACTAATCTCTTACAAGCCCACAAACCCTACTTTCCCTCCCAAGGGATGTTAAGAACAGCAGATCACAGATGAGCTCAGAAAAGAGAAATTTTCATCATTAAAGTACAAACCTTCATAATTCTATAGACCTAAAAGTATAATTTTTAGAGAGTTTTAAACGATAAGAAGCTAAGAATTTTCCATCTGATTTGTGGTCACCAATTATTTGTAAGGCTGTTCAAAGGAATGCCCAAAATGATGTTGCTGACCTATAAGGAATCTCAGAAGGAATTTTTGTGCATGTAAACACAGGGCCATTTAATGCCATGGAAGACAAATGTATCTACATTTCCGTGGGAATGTCCATAAGGAATTCTATTTTTTATTTATTTATTTATTTATTTATTTATTTATTTATTTATTTTTTTTTTTTTTATTTTTTTGAGATGGAGTCTCACTCTGTCACCCAGGCTGGAGTGCAGTGGCGCAATCTCAGCTTACTGCAAGCTCCGCCTCCCGGGTTCACGCCATTCTCCTGCCTCAGCCTCCTGAGTAGCTGGGACTACATGCGCCCACCACCATGCCCGGCTAATGTTTTTTGGGTTTTTTTTTGTATTTTTATTAGAGACGGGGTTTCACCGTGTTAGCCAGGCTGATCTCGATCTCCTGACCTTGTATTCTGCCCGCCTCGGCCTCCCAAAGTACTGGGATTACAGGCGTGAGCCACAGCACCTGGCCAAGTAATTCTAAATTAACAAGTTTTTCTTCTAAACAATCATTTGCAATGTTGAAAATACTGGTTGATATTTCTCTCAAATACAAACTTTTCAATTAGAAAGTCATTCGTGGTCGGGTGCGGTAGCTCATGCCTGTAATCCTAGCACTTTGGGAAGCCGAGGCAGGCAGATCACCTGAGGCTGGGAGTTTGAGACCAGCCTGTCCAACATGGAAAAACCCTGTTTCTATTAAAAATACAAAATTTAGCCAGGTGTGGTGGTGGCACCTATAATACCAGCTACTCTGGAGGTTGAGGCAGGAGAATCACTTGAACCTGGGAGGCGGAGCTTGCAGTGAGCCAAGATCACGCCACTGCACTCCAGCCTGGCCACAGAGTGAGACTCCATCAAAAAAAAAAAAAGCTTCCTTAATATGAATTACCTTCCTTATTTTAAAATTTTAAAAGCATTGACAAGAGCTGGTTTGGGGTGAAGACAGTTCCTTCAGAAACGGGCTGATGTGACTGGGAGGAGGCTCCAGCAGGGGAGTGGAGTGGCTGTTGGTGCAGGGATGACCTGGCTGCACAGGCCCTTCAAGATCCATTCTGCCCACCTAGCTTCAGGAAAGAAATTGTCCTGGGTAGCTGTAAAATAGACAATAATCAGGTTGACAGTCAGAAGAGGATGCTGAAATGTCTCCATTGGCAGATCTGAGAAACTCCAGAGGAAATTGAAGAGTAGGTCTTCTGATGGAGGCAATCCATAACAGAAGAGATAGTAGGCTAACAACGTCTTCCAGGAGGCAGTGATGACTCAGAAGCTTACAGGAGCCAAGGAAATAATCATGAAAAACCAACAGTGGAGATAAACAAAAACAAATGAATGTATACCTGGAAGAGTATCCCGTGATCAGAGTTACTGGAATGCACTTACGCAGATTGAAAGGGAGGCTGAAAGACTGTTGGCAAGACACTAGATAAGAAGAGAAATAAAACATGCTTGAAGACATATGTATTACATCGCTGATGTTAGAGGCCTGTAATTCTGCTCCACTGGTATTGGACTCTTGTAGGAAAAGACTTTAACCCACTTCCAGCCATTTGGGAAGATAAACTGAGGAAAGAGTTGGCAGACATAACATAGGCTATCCAAAAAAGTTTTAATTTCAGATACATGATGAATAATTTTGAGGATAACTATGTCCCAAGTACTTTTATGAATTAAAACTTGGGATATATCTATAATAAAGAGGTATTTATTGTTTATTATCATTTATCTGAAATTAAAATATGCCTTGGTGCCCTGTATTTTTGTTTGAAACATCTTGCAGCCCTAGTTGAGAAAAAGTCGGAAAGATAGATGTCACACACTAAAATCGGCCTAAATCAGAATCCCCAAATGATGAAAGCTATTAGGGCTTACAGAATGGATACTAAGGATCAGGGAGGTTTGGTTGATATTAAGTATCATATTAAGGAAAATCCCTGATCTCAAAGAGAATTTCAGGTGTCAATATTTCATCTCATTTGCCTGCAGGAAAAGAATGGAAGTCCATGGTCTTCAGAGTAAGTTACACAATCTACTTAAGCCTAAACACGGTGTCCCCATAGCATCCAGCATTGCCAAAATGATGAGAAATGTGACTGTAGTTTCTAAAAGCAGACAGGCATAGTTTCTAAGTTAGGTAAGACTTTGTGGAGCAACAAAGAGTAGAGTTTCAAATGATCACATTTATAGAGAGAAGAAAAGTAGACAGGAAAGAGGAATTCTTACATGAAAGTCTTTGCTCCTTTCCACGTTTTTGGGGGTTCACACGCTGCATCAAGTTCCACTCTGCAAGTGGCTCAGCATGTTGGGGAAGTGGTGGCTGCATAAAACTGCCTGAAAATGCTCAGTTTTCATGAATCTTCGGGTTTCCCATCAACATGAGTCTACCCTGTTGAGCCCAAACCCAGCCCTCATCCTGCTGGGCTGAGCAATCTGTCGTGGCTCCTAATCTCCACTCGAACATAATTCCGAGCGCATGGCATTGAAGCTGTGTGTTTACATGTCAGCTCTTGGCCTCACTCCCTCACAAGTATCCCATTTAATAACAGCAGTAAGCCCGGTGCGGTGCCTCATGCCTGTAATCCCAGCACTTTGGGAGGCTGAGGTGGGAGGATCACCTGAGGTCACGAGTTTGAGACCAGCCTGGCCAACATGGTGAAACTCCGACTCTACTAAAAATATTAGCCAGGCGTGGTGGCTCTTGTCTGTAATCCCAGCTACTCAGGAGGCTGAGGCACGAGAATCACTTGAACCTGGGAGGCAGAGGTTGCAGTGAGCCTAGATCCTGCCAGTGCACTCCAGCCTGCGTGACAAAGGATGGTTCTGTCTCAAAACAATAATGATGATAACAATAATAGCAGCAGTAGAATCGGTGAATGAAATACCTGTTATGTGACCGGGTATTGTGTACTCAGCGTGAAATAACATAAGTGAAATGCAAGGAATAGTGAATGCGTGACAAAGCCCTAGCATATTAAATGTAAACACATGAGAACATTCCAGCAGAACAACAAGGAAGGCAAGCGATGCAGGTGCCGACAAAACGCAGTGGCTCCGGATGTGCCCTCGACGGAAGGGAAGCCATGAGGGGAAGCAGAGAAAAGGGTGTCGATAGAGAAGGAGGTGAGAGTACAGCGAAGGAACAGGAGGATGAAAGAGGTGGGCGGCACGGGCCAGGCAGAGTCAGCGGTGGAGGAGGCTGAGGGCCAAGGGGTCCTCAAAAGATTCTCCTTTGGGATGAAATGAGAAGGATCTAGAGTTGAAGAAATGCTGGGAGACTCATGCATTCCAGAAATATTTTAACGGGGAAATGATTAGACCTTGTCTCTGGCCAACTTGTCTGGATAACAGAGGAAAAAATAATTGTCAGATATGACAAGAAGTTTAGTACATGAGGCACCAAGAGAATATGTTCTCTGGAGATGGAAACAGAAGTTGGGGAATAAAAAGGAGAGTTTGGGAAAATAAATAAATAAATCAATAAATAACTCTTGATTATCTTTGCTAGGGGAAACCGGTAAGGGCATTCTTAACATTGTAGACAAGTACGTTCTCCAGCTGCACTTACGTAAAGCCATACTTTAAAAGAGGGAAACTTTTTCAGTTAAGTATCCCATATTGTAAAAGAATAAAATTTTTATTTAAGAAAAACTTACAAGAATGCATATAGCAGATGATTGCTGGTTAGTCCTTTAACAAATCATTTGTGAAAATAAATATAGCACATGAAACTAAGAGTATCCAAGGAAACCCCAGATCGGTGGCTAAAATTTTTGAAGTACAGACACTTTCAATAATAATTGTTTATTGACGTACGCTATTTAACCTCTAAAACTGGTCAATTAAATATAAAAATAAAGCAATATTTTAATAGAAAGAGTATTTCCAATGATATCTGTGCATGTAGAAATGCAAACAATAGAGCAGGCATGGCGGCTCAAGCTTAATCCCAGCACTTTGGGAGGCCAAGATGGGCGGATCACCTGAGGTCAGGAGTTCGAGACCCACTTGGCTAACATGGCAAAACCTCATCTCTACTTAAAAAACACAAAAATTAGCTGGACGTGGTGGCAAGCACCTGTAATCCCAGCTACTCGATAGGCTAAGACAGGAGAATCACCTGAACCCGGGAGGTGGAGGTTGTAGTGAGGTGAGATCGCACCACTGCCCTCCAGCCTGGGCAACAGAGTGAGACCCCACCGGAGAGGAGAGGAGAGGGGAGGGGAGGGGAGAGGAGGGGAGGGGAGGGGAGGGGAGGAGAAGGGAGGAGAGGGGAGGAGAGGGAAAGAAAAGGAAAGGAAAAGAAAAGAGAAAGAAAGAAAGAGAAAAAGAAAAAAAAAGTTAAACAATAAAGCAGTAAGTAGTATGCCACTTTTCAACTTTTTTGATCAATGGCTACCAGATACTAGAATTTTAAATTTGCTGCCTTCGAAATGATTTACAATTGGTGAAGAAACATCTTGATTTAGATTTTTTAATAGAAATCAATGACTGAACAATTCAAGTTTTACTCTCTAAGTAAAATTAAACATCTATTGTCTAATTCCAGTGTAGTTAGCACAGACAGGCAAAACCAACTGCAGCTCCCCGGGTGGGGTGCGATCCCATCAGGCCTTGACAGAAGGAGCCATCTGGATACAGGAGACCGGCAGGCAGTCTGCAAAGCATTACCCTGGCGTGCTAGACGTCACCTTTTCAGCTACAATGGCTATAATTTGAAGAGCTAGTTTCTCTCATCTTGAAGCTTTATACCTTTCAGATGACACTAAAGGAACAATTTTCCTAGACAAACTGGGTATAATTTGGGTAATCTCTGCATGGCAGGCACCTGTACCTTCATTTGCATTTACACAATTCCTTTTTAATCTGGTAATTATGTAAATAGCAGACAAGATTTTTGACATCTCACTTTCTTATTCTGCTTTGGAAAATGACTAGACATTACATTGCAGGCAATTTGCTATTTTAACATGCACAAAAGATGGATTCATTTAAGCAAAAATAGAGTGAATAACTGCATTTCTGCTCTCCAAAATGCACCATGTATTTTTGTTCAATTGTATAAGTCCACAGGATTTATATAACTGGAGGAGTCTGTTCAAAACTCCAGCTCGAGTCCTGGACTTGGGTCATTGGTGTCTTTTCCACACCCCTCCCCCAACCCCGACTTGCTGGACTTGCCCCAAGGCTCTATATGAACAACGGAAAAAAACAGACACTGTCCTAGAAGCTAAGGCCACAATACAGGCGTTATGTATAACAAGCTCTAGTAATGCCGCTTTAATTATAATTACACCACCAGCAGTGCAACACTTACCACTAAAAAGGCAAAAAAAAATAAAGCATATGAACGTGTATTTTCTAAACCAATTCCCTACAAACTAAATTATTGCTGGCATTGTATTTTAGTAACTGTAAATTTCTCTAAGTTAATTATTCACTCTGACTCTCTATTTGTAAAATAGAGATAATACCATACATTTAGGAGACGGTAGAGGTAAAATAGGATGACAGTGGTGAGATAACATACAAGGCACCTGTCAAATAGTCACACTAGCGTTTGATAAATGCTAGCTGCCTCCTCACCCTGATTCTGATGGTGTTCTGGACTCTCCACCTTAAGCCTGCCTGACAGTAGCCAGGGGACTGGTGTCTCCTGGGTGAGAGGCATGCAGTCCTATTACAGCCCCGGTACCATAGCCATGGGCAGCGTGTCGGTACAGTACGTGCCACACAGTCAGAGTCACTCTGACCAGGCACTCCTGAGTGTCTTTGACATTAGGAGATGTAGTGAATGTTGAATTACTGGCCATGCAGGATTTATATATAGTCAGCATCTCTTTATCCCAAAAGCCTGAATTTACAAACAGGGTAAAAATGAATGCCTTTCATCAGCTTTAATTTTCTAATGCAGTGACCCATCCTAGCACTGTGTAATAACAGGTCCCAGAGTGACAATTAAAATAAATCACCCTACAGAATATGCCATTAAAAGCATTCATGCCTCATCAGTAACTGGATTGTCTTATATAATATATCCTGAGGAAATATTTATAACTTTAGCTTCAGTTCCCCAAAGCACACGTTGATTAATATCCTGCCCTTGTAGATTTCTCAGAAATTGAAACATGGTTCCAATATTATTTTCTGGGTGACAGTCTAATTTTATTTTAATGGGGAACACCAGTGGCTAATCATGAACCAATAGTTATTGATCCATAATAGACTACCTTCCCGCAGAGCCCATGGAAAACATAAGCCTCTGCACATTCCTTCCTTTTAAAGAAAAACTCTTGAATGGCAGATTATTTTTCCTCTCTAAATTAAGGAGATATTGGTCTTTGGAAGGAACAACATTGAAACATTAAATATATTCCTTCTTTACTCTTCTAAAAAAGTATATTCTAAGTAATGAAGAAACTGTAAACCAAAAATGAAATTCTAAACCTCCAAACTGACTGAACGGGGAACACTCTGGGCCAAAGGGACCCGAGAGAAGCTTGAAAACCTGAATTCCTGGCAAGACAGGGAAGGGGGTCCAACACACTCTCTTTGGAGTTTAGGTACAACTGACCAGCATTAACGTTGAAACAGAGATCACAAAACAGACTTTTTGTGGCAATAAAATATCACATTTCAAACTGACACTGGTCCAACATCATATGACAAATAGCAGACCCTGAGAGACATTAAAATATTTTACCCAAAAATAAATATCTTTGGCATATTTTGAAATAGCCCTGCAAAGCCACCTGGTGTGATTTGACAGTGTCCCCATCCAAATCTCAACTTGAATTGCATCTCCCAGAATTCCCCTTGTGGGAGGGACCCATGGGGAGGTAATTGAATCACAGGGGCTGGTGTTTTCCGTGCTATTCTCATAATAGTGAGTAAATATCACGAGATCTGATAGGTTTACTGGGGGTTTCTGCTTTTGCTTCTTTCTCATTTTCTCTTGTTGCTGCCATGTAAGAGGTGCCTTTCACCTCCCGCCATGATTCTGAGTCCTCCCCAGCCATGTGGAACTGTAAGTTCAATTAAACCTCTTTTTGTTCCCAGTCTCAGGTATGTCTTCATCAGCAGCATGAAAACAGACTAATACACCATCTTTTATGGAAGAAATTTGCATCTGTAGAGCATCTCCATTAGTACAGTCAGGCCTTTCCTCCTCTAGGAGAGATTAACTATGAGTCTGACATGTTTTAAGGTCCATCTGAAAGGAAAACAGGTATTTACCATCTACCCTCTCTGGAAGCTACCAAGGAGGCTTCATCTACATCACAAGAACCCTAGGGTCAACGACCCCCACTTCTCTTAACTCAAGCATTTCTTTCTACTGACTTCAAGTCTTTAGACAAAGCTTAGCTCTTTCCACTAATTACCAATTAGAAAATCTTTTAACCCACCTATGACCTATAATGTCCCTCCCTCTTGAAGATATCCTGCCTCTTTAGGCTGAATTAATGTACACCTTTTATGTACTGATTTATGATTTCATCTACAATTCCTATTTCCCTAAAATGTATAAAGCCCACCTGTAACCTGACCTTCTCAGACACACTTTCTCAAGACTTCTTGAGACTGTTTCCTCGGGCCAGGGTCACTGATATTGGCTCAGAATAAACATTTTTAAATATTTTCCAGAGGGTTTTTTGTTTGTTTTTGTGTCCAAGGAATATATGGGGAGAACTCAGGTATAGGTTAACAAAAGCCACATATTTCCTCCTATCAAAAACTTCCCAGTCTTTACCATTCAAAGAAAACTTGAGGGTTCCGCAGACATCCAGCTCACAGTGGACAATTGTATTCACTTTCTGCCACCATAGGGTAAGACCCGGCATGTCACCATCTACTGGTGAGTTGCTCAGCTCCTATGGGCTAAGACAAACAAGAATAAGACCTAGAGAAAGAAAAACTCTACAGTAGCATATTTAGGTAAACTTTTCATTTCGGTAAACTCAAGTCCTCAGGCACTTCCTTGGCATCTATTATTTGGAAAGAGTCCTCAAGTCCTCAGACACCATCCTTGCCATCTGTTATTTAGAAAGGGTCTTGTTTTTTGAAACTCATAGGTAGTACCTCTTCTTACTACAAGGAAAGATTGAAATATTCTATGTTTGAAATCTCTACATTATTTACTTTCCTAAGCTTTAATTTTCCGTCCTGCTATTTTATAGGCAAAATACCTGCTAACAACCTGAAACTGCAGTGGTAGGAATTGCTGGTGTATCCGGAATTGGTGGGTTCTTGGTCTCACTGACTTCAAGAATGAAGCCGCAGACCCTCGCGGTGAGTGTTACAGCTCTTAAGGTGGCGCGTCTGGAGTTTGTTCCTTCTGATGTTCAGATGTGTTCGGAGTTTCTTCCTTCTGGTGGGTTCGTGGTCTCGCTGGCTCAGGAGTGAAGCTGCAGACCTTTGCGGTGAGTGTTACAGCTCTTAAGGCAGCGAGTCTGGAGTTGTTCGTTCCTCCCGGTAGGCTCGTGGTCTTGCTGGCTTCAGGAGTGAAGCTGCAGATCTTCGCGGTGAGTGTTACAGCTTATAAAAGCAGCGTGGACCCAAAGAGTGAGCAGTAGCAAGATTTATTGCAAAGAGCGAAAGAATAAAGCTTCCATAGTGTGGAAGGGGACCCGAGCGGGTTGCCACTGTTGGCTCAGGCAGCCTGCTTTTATTCTCTTATCTGGCCCCACCCACATCCTGCTGATTGGTAGAGCCCAGTGGCCTGTTTTGTCAGGGTGCTGATTGGTGCATTTACAATCCCTGAGCTAGACACAAAGCTTCTCCACGTCCCCATCAGATTAGTTAGATACAGAGTATCCACATAAAGGTTCTCCAGGGCCCCACCAGAGCAGCTAGATACAGAGTGTCCATTGGTGCATTGGCAAACCCTGAGCTAGACACAGGGTGCTGATTGGTGTGTTCACAAACCTTGAGCTAGATACAGAGTGCCGATTGGTGTATTTACAATCCCTGAGCTAGACATAAAGGTTCTCCACATCCCCACCAGACTCAGGAGCCCGGCTGGCTTCACCCAGTGGATCCCGCACCGGGGCTGCAGGTGGAGCTGCCTGCCAGTCCCGCGCCGTGCGCTCGCACTCCTCAGCCCTTGGGTGGTCGATGGGACTAGGTGCCGTGGAGCACGGGGTGGCACTCGTCGGGGAGGCTCGGGCCTCACAGGAGCCCATGGAGTGGGTGGGAGGCTCAGGCATGGCGGGCTGCAGTCCCGAGCCCTGCCCCTCGGGAAGGCAGCTAAGGCCCGGCGAGAAATCGAGCGCAGCTCCGGTGGGCTGGCACTGCTGGGGGACCCAGTACACCCTCCGCAGCCGCTGGCCCGGGTGCTAAGTCCCTCATTGCCCGGAGCCGGCAGGGCCGGCCGGCTGCTCCAAGTGCAGAGCCCGCCAAGCCCACGCCCACCCGGAACTCCAGCTGGCCCGCAAGCGCCGTGTGCAGCCCCGGTTCCCGCTCGTGCCTCTCCCTCCACACCTCCCTGCAAGCTGAGGGAGCCGGCTCTGGCCTTGGCCAGCCCAGAAAGGGGCTCCCACAGTGCAGCGGTGGGCTGAAGGGCTCCTCAAGTGCCGCCATAGTGGGAGCCCAGGCAGAGGAGGTGCCGAGAGCCAGCGAGGGCTCTGAGGACTGCCAGCACGCTGTCACCTCTCACTGGGATTGCATATAGAGCAGAGCCAGCCATCAGGAAGAGGAGCATTAATATGGATAGATCCACTTCTTCTGAACAAGTGTTTAATGGTAACACTTTTCTAGCAAATCTCTTCCCTGACTCATCCCTGAAAGCCTTTGAATGCGAAATGCTTGACCTTTTGAAGAGCCCTTCATTTTCCTATTTGTTTTCTATAGATTTTTACAGCATGCAACCCTCTCTCCTACCCATACTCCCCACTCACTGCTGAATAACCACTTAGAGAAATTGTACTGTAAGAGAACGAGGTATTTGGAAAATTCTGGTTTCGAAAGAAAAGGGAGAAGCAAGAGGAAGACATAGTTCCATTACTCCAATATGGAACCCTAAAGACCTTTGATTGGATCTGTTAAATCAAGTTTACCCTAAAGCCGTCCCATTACATATTTTAAGTTCAGCCTAAAGGTCTCTCTATACATGGTGAACTGTCACCTAGCTGGATGTGTAAACAGACTATACTTACTCTTGTACCAATCATTGAGTTTTGGTCAGTCTAAGGCAGCCAACCGTTCAAACCATGTATAAATAAGGGAAGTGCTGAGCTGTAACCAATCTGGCTGTTTCTGTACCTCACTTCTGTGTTCTGTACCTCACTTTTTGCTTTCTGTCCATAAATCTTTCACTACGTGGCTGGACCAGTCTCTCTGAACCTATTCTAGTTCAGGGGCTACCTGATATGCAAATCATTCTTTGCTCAATTAAACTCTGTTAAATTTAATTTGTCTAAAATTTTTCTTTTATCAGATCATAGGTAAACTCCTGGGATTCTGAGGTCTGAGGCCATGCAAAAGACACCTTGGAAAATCATAGTCAACATCTGGACCTCTGTGTTCTTCTCTGCAAAATGAGGAGGCTGATTAAATGCTGTTGAAGACTCCTTTGAAGCTCTAACAGTTTATCATTGAGGGTATTTTGAGCAATGCACTAGATCCATGATGGGGCAGAAGGTGGAGGGTCGGAAAGAATTGTGAGAGTTGGCCTCAATGTTCTGTGAGGAAAAAGACCCCCAGCTGCTCTGCTCCCATGCTTGTAAGCTGCTGGACTAGGATCTTCGAGAGCCTAGAGGGCCCACAACATCAGGGCCCCCCTGGTGGCTATGATCAACACTGTGAGCAGCTAACATTTATTGGGTAATTGCTATGTGACTGGCATGGGTTTTTCTGCAAATATTCTTACAAGGTCAGGTATATTTCATATTTAACAGATGAAGAAATTAAGGAAGAGAGGGTAATTAAATTTCTTGAATTTCTACTGCTTTTAAGTGGCAAAGCCTGGAGCACAGCTTTCTCTGACTATACGATGGTGTCCAATAAAGACATTGATTACTGGTCCTCATATTAATATCAGGTCTCTCCATGAACTTCTCAGCACTTTTCCTAGGATCTTAGATCCCTTTTGGCATGGACAGTCTGAAAGTGCATTTAAAGTATTTTCAGAATGTGAAAATCTTCATCAGTTCAAGTCCACAAACTTCCCCGTCTCTCATGCTCACTATTCTCTCTCATCCTTCTTGACTGGGATGTTAGGAGGGAAGAAAATACATCCAAATAGAAATCTTACCTGGGGGGAAAAGATAAAGCACAACCTCCCCTCCTAGAGGTTGTGCATTTCGAAGCATTCCATCTTTTTTGACTACTCAGGAGAGAGGAGGTTTTCACTACTTGGTAATGATTTGTCATTGACCTGAGGCAATTATTGGCAAAACAAGGCCTTGAGCTATTTCCAAGTCTCTCAAAACGTTTGGGTGAAAAACAGCAAAGGAGCCCTGTGAGGATGTTGAGATGGTTTATTATGTGGTTTGCTTAAGGTCACAGAGTCACTACACTGCAGAGCTAGCTGTGGAATGCTGAGGCCCCAGGGGCTCCCTGTGCAACAGGCCTGGATCCAACTCCTAACTCTTTCCTGCCTGGGCATTCTCCCCTCCCTCACAGACACTGTCAAACAGCACCAGCCCAAGGCCCGAGTGTCCTTTGCAAAATTCAGCTAACTCCGAACTCTCACTTGATGCTCTGCTCATGGGTGGAGAGAAAACAGGTGGAACCGCTTCTCTATCAACTGAGTGAAAACCAGATGAAGAATATCAGATAGATACTGGGGAAAAACAATATCTAACTATTTCGTTAAAATAGATCTTCCCCTCTTTATTGCTCTTAGTTTATGAAATTTAGAAAACACATACAGGCAACAAGAAGTGCGTTCAATGGACTCAGTAGATTTGTGGAATGCAAAGGAGCCTGAAGCTAGGTTTCAACCCGCCACTGCCACTTAACTCAGTCTCCTAATAATCGTCAGAAGGGAAATTTTCACTCTGCCTGGAATTTTCACTCCAGGCTCCATGTTCTTGGAATCACATACAGCTCTATGGACCCGGAAACCACACCTCCATCCCGGAGCGTGATGAACCTGTGCTATTGCTAAAGCTCAGGCTTTAACACTGTCTGTGGATCTCTGCATCCTCTGCCAATAAGGAAACTCTCTATCTGGAATTGCCAGCTGGTGCCTGGTTATCTCAGCTCCATGCATCTGCTGTGAGGACCTGGAGGCGGCGATGGGGCCGGGGCAGGGGATGGGGAGAGTGGGGGTGCTCCTCTTGCTGTACAGAGGCTGCAGCTTTCACCAAAGCTGCATGCCCCTCACCAGGGGGACTGCCCATTTTACTCCCACTGGGCATGTGAGGCTTCCTGGAATTCAGCTTCAGTTCTTATCTACCTTTTAAGACATTTATATCTGCTATTGTAATTGCACCATTTTTTGAAAAGTTAGTTGTTTTCATAAGAGATGAAAGCTCAGTAGAAGCTTTGTAAAAATTCAGTGATTCCATTAAGGTGACTCTGAAAGCAAAAGGGAGGAAAAAAGAGTAAAAGAAAGAAAATTAAAAGATGGAGGGAAGGACAATATAAAGAAGACCACTGTTGTTCAAAAATATGTAAGCAAGGTAACTTGTAAAGACTAAAGAAAAATTCAAAGTTTAACATGAATCATCATTTGAGTTACTTTAAAATCATGGAGAGCTCCCTCTGCTTTAAAGGAACCAAAAGATCAAAAAATAAAAAGTATTATAGACAAACTCATATGCTGTGACCTGTGCAATAATAATATAAGAAAGAAGGAGTGCCACACTCATTCTCAAATGAAAGGCTTTGGCGATTTTATACCTTAAACATCCTTACTTCCTCATATTTCTACACATCCCCAGTGCTTTTTGTAGGATGTATGTAGATTTGAAATTGCTGGGTCAAAGGATACACAGGCTTTGAGGCTTTTCATACTTCCGTGGGGCAGAGGACACTCATCCCCACATCTCAGTTTGGAGGACAGCTGGTAGGAAAGGCTGAAATGTAACTGAAGCCACAGGAGGCCCTGAGGCACGGAAAGGACGTGGGAGGAGTATCCATCCTTCTGCTTACAGACCCTGAGTTGCAATGAGAATAATGCCACGAGGAATGAACAGAAACTATTGCTAATCAGCAATAGAAGGATTATCGAAAGCTTGAACACCAAGCACAGCAGGTTATGATGTACCTTCACACACACACACACCAAAAGCACGCACATTAACACGCACATGTACACACAGACCTCCACCCAGACACATGCCCTAAAACAGTGATCCCTAAGCTTTTTGGCATCACAGACCGGTTTCATGGAAGACAACTTTTCCATGGACGGGGCTGGGAGGGTCAAGATGAAACTGTTCCACCTCGGACCATCAGGCATTAGATTCTCATAAGGAGCATGTAACCTAGACCCCTTGAATGGGCAGCTCACAGTAGGGTTTGCGCTCCGCTGATTTGACAGGAGGTAGAGCTCAGGTGGTAATGCTCGTTTACCTGCAGCTCACCTCTTGCTGTGTGGCCTGGTTCCTAACAGGCCACAAACTGATATCAGTTCGTGGCCCAGGGGTTGGAGACTCTTGCCCTAAAACACAACATTGTACTCAAGCTTCCACTTTAGCTGAATGGGATAGCTCTTTAAAGCATCACCTGACCTTCAAGTTGTCAGAATTGATGGTGTTTTTTCCTGGAAAAATAGACTTGTGGCTAAATGCACTACATGCTTTTATTCCTAGATTAAACAGACCCCTGCATAAAAATATCATTTGGGAGGCATTTGTTTCCTATGTTGAATAAGCTCCAGAGAAGTCTCAAGTAGAAAATCAAATGTAATAAGACTTCCAGAATAGCAAGTTAAATGCTCTCGGTCATAAGACTGGTACATTTTGCCATGGGACAACAACAGAGCTCATTAAATAGCTTTTCTGGTTCAGTATTACCAAAAATACTACCAAAGAAAATATAGTCTTAGAACATGGATCAAAGCAATATGGCACTCCGCTGTGTTCTGTTCATACAGTGAAACTAGGATGAGTCTGTGGCATCCTCTACAAACATTGGCCCTTGACAGGAAATCATGACACAGGGACCTTCTCGTGACTTTGCCTCTGACTATTGGTAACACTGTTCTCTATTTCTAGCCACATCCATGCTGCAAACCACTGGCAAGTCCTTGAAGTCCAATACCCCAAATCTGAAGACAGGAAGAGGTTCCTTCCACAAACTCTCTGTGCAGCAGGGTGAAACATCTAAACATGGGTAAAACATGGGTGACCAGATGCTTGGGGTGAAGATGCATCATCACTGCTTGGAACCCTGTGATTCTCAGAGAAGTGGAGGTTGATGGGGAGAAGGGAGAGGAAGGTAGGATGACAGTGAAAGAAACTAGAAGTTTCAGCAGATCTAATGGGACAAAGCCTGGAGAGTGTCTCAGTAAAAACAGGTCACTGAAACTCCTGACCTATCTCCACATGTCGTAATTTATTCAGAGTAAACTATGGGAACAGAACTCAGGAACACGCCAAGGGGGTGTCTGGGTACCTATTAGCACACAGAATCAGATCTCAAACATTTCCCTGAGGAAAAACATCTTGTTTCATCAGTGCTGAACAAGTTGAGGGATGATTGGAATGAGAGAATTTACAAACAGCAAACCTAAACATGGAACTAACATATTCAGAACACCCCAGCAGTAGAAGAGAAATAAACATCCACTTTAATCAGTTTTAATTGAAGATCTAAAGCTTAGCGGCTGTGGACACCTTCAGGGAACTGGTCTCAGCCAGTTGGGGTCAAGGGGTCATCCTTTGCCCAGTTTCAGTGAGTGACCACTTTTCCCTAAACACCTGAGGAATGGGAAACAGGAGGCAGGAGTAGGTTTTAGGACATAGGAACTTATCGTTACAGGACTTTGTCTTAGTTCATCTAAAGACGGGGTTCTTGTCCCATGGCCATGAAAGTTTAGGCTCGCAGACGGTTTGAAGGGTGAGTAAAGCAGGGTTTTATTGGGTGAAAAGGAAAAAAAGTGGAAACAGGGACTCACTGCAAGGCCAGAGTCCCTACTAGAGTGCTTCCCGCCTCGCCGCTTGAATCCCAAACTCCACACAGGAAGAGGAGGGGACAGGCTCCTCCCAGCTGCAAAAGGTGCAAACTTCTGTGGCTCCACCCCAGTCCACCTGGCGGTCTCACTGTGGCAGTAGCTCTTCCTACTGATGGCTCCGAAAAGTCGCTTGGGAATTTCTCCAGAACATCCTGCCCGGATTCCACACCCAGAGATCTCATGTGGACTTGGTCTGGGAGTGGGGCCCGGATATTAGCATTTATTTTTAAAGGCCCTGCAGTGATTCTAACCTGTGATTCTAAAAGGATGACTAAGGTTCTTGGTTTGAATCAGTTGGAAGGACCATGGTGCCTGAGTTTTGAATTGCCCTCCTAGTTTAAACACCGAAGCATGGGTTTATTTTGTTCTCTCAATGAATACCTGGAGAAAATAATGCTGCAGATGCTATTCTGGATGCTTGGTGTATGTTACCAAAAAAAAAAAAAAAGAAAAAGAAAAAGAAAGAAAGAAAGAAAGAAAACCCCTGCCTCACCAAACTCACCTTATAGTAGGAGGATTCAGACAAGAAGCAGAAAGTATGGTGCACAGAAGTATCAAGCAACATACCCTATTAAAAAGAAAAACAACAGAGTGATAGGAGTTGAGATTGCAGGAAAAGTGAGAAGCAGAATTTGTTATTAAAATAAGGGGTCATATTAGCCCTCACTAAAAACACATATTTGAGAAAGATCTTGAGGGCAATAAGGAGAAGAAAAGAGTGTTCCAAGGGGACAGCTAGTAGAAATACCCGAAGACTGGATTTGACAGATGTGCTTACAAAATGAAGAGCTGGCGAAGGCCAGGTGCCGTGGCTCACGCCTGTAATCCCAGCACTTTGGGAGGCCGAGGTGGGTGAATCACATGAGGTCAGGAGTTTGAGACCAGCCTGGCCAACATGGTGAAACCTCATCTCTACTAAAAATACAAAAATGAGCCAGGCGTGGTGGCGCGTGCCTGTAATCTCAGCTACTCAGGAGGCTGAGGCATGAGAATTGCTTTAACCTGGGAGACAGAGGTCACAATGAGCCGACATTGCACTACTGCACTCCAGCCTGGGTGACGGAGCAAGGAGCAAGACTCTTTCTCAAAAAAAAAAAAAAAAAAAGAAAAAGAAAAAAAAAAAGGGAAAAAACCAGAAATGGCCACTGAGGCTTGTGCAGGATGAATGAGGTAGAAGCCTGCAGGTCCAAGTTGCAAAGGTTAAGGAGGCGGCTTCCTTAAGTGCCGTGCCATTGTGAGGATCTTGGCTTTCACTTAGAGTGAAACAGGGAGCCAAGAAAGGGTTTTGAGTCACGAGTAAAGGAAAGGAAGCACAGACTGATTTATATCTTAAAACAAACAAGCAAACAAAAAACACTTTGGCTGTTATGTTGAATCTTAAGTAGAGAGGACAAATGTGGAGGCAGGAAGATCAGCTAGTAGGTGATTGTTGTCCTTTGGGGCAAAGCGGGATGGTGGGGTGAACCATTGTTTTAGTAGCACTTAAAAAGCAGAGACGGCAATCTATCCTGAGAGATTAACATGGGAAGACAGGGAGGAGGTAAAAATGATCCTAAATTTGTTGTTGTTGTTGTTGTTTTGTTTTTAGTCTAATCCAACCAGAAGGATTTCATTATCTTCAACAGAGAGAGAAGGTTACAAGTGAAAGGAGTGTGTTTTTTTGGGGGGAAGAGCATGAGTTCAGTTTATGTCATGTTGAGTTTAAGATGTTTATGAGACAAGTGAGATGCCAGGTACAGAGTTGTATATATTGAGGCAAGCTCAGAAAAGAAGTCTGGGCTGCAGATATAAGTGTTCAAGTTAGAAGCACAGAGATAGTGTTTAAAGGTATATGAGAGTAGATGACATCAAACGTGTGTACACAGAGAAGAGGGCCAAGGGCCCCAGAGTACCCCAGGAGTAAGAGAACAGGAAGAAGAGACAGAATCAGCAAAGGTTATGGAGAAAATGTGGTCAATAAGTCAGAAGAAAAATTATGTGTCCTGCTCTTTCAATAGGTCAAAGAAAGTGAAGATGATGAAGAGGAGGAGGTTTGATTAAAGGTTTCAAATACAGCTAACAGGTTCAGTAAAATGAGATCTGATGGTGGATCACTGGATTTAGCTATGTGGTGATCTTTGGTTACTCAAGAAAAAAGTTATTCTGTAATTTAAAAAAATGATCTAAAAATAGTTAAGGCAGAGTAAGAGAAGGATTGGACGTTACAAATACAGGTAATGCCGGTGATTTCTGCTGCTAATGAGAACAAATAGAATGCAGGGAAAGTGAGGTCAAGAAAAAAAGTTTTGACAGAAGGAAGTATTACATGATGTTTTTAAGCCATTGAGAATAAACCATTATTTAAAAAGAAACACTGACAATGCAGGAGAAGGCGGAAAAATTGCTACAGTGATGATTTTGAATAAGCAGGAGTGGATGGGATTTGGTGTACAATTGCAGAGTCTGGTTTTAGATAACAGCGTAGACATTCATCTGTGGTAACACACAGGAAGCCAGAATATGTTGATAGAGATGTTCGTAAGTTGATGTGATAGGAGCTTGAAGAATTTCCCTTCTACTGCTTCAGTTTTTTCAGTAAGAAAGACAGCAGGCTGAGCATAAGAAGTGGAGAGGAAGTGCTAAAAGTTTGGGGAGAAAGGAGACGGTGAGAAATCATAGTCTAGGACAGTGGGAAATTGACTGACCCAGCAATGTGTAGTGGTGCGTGTATGCATCACTGCCTGGCAGCACGAAGGCCCATGGTCATGAACCTCACCTCAGAACAGGTCACTGCAGTTGCTTGTTTTTCCCCAACATATTCAGCTACAAAAATAGAGAAATCTGGTCAGCAAAAGTTTGGATTCAACCAGAGTTGTAGTTTTGCCACTAAAGTATGTTGAAGAGAGGAGCAAAGGAGTCAAGAGTGTTTGCAGGAGTTTCGTATAGATTAACCACAAAATGTAGGCTGGGTAGGGAGAAAAGCACAAATATCAAGAGGGTGAAGGGTAGTGACACGTTGTAAGATCAATATACAGAAAATCCCAGTGAGGGTAAAGCTTTGTTAGGCTAGTGATATAAAATGGAGATAGCTGTTAAAATAGGAAGGTTTTATTGAGTCTATGTCCATGAGAACAAATAACCAAGGTAGCACCAAGAACGAGCTCTTTCAAAAAGAGGAGTTCTGGAACTCTGAAGGTCAAGATGTTAAAAGGGTCATCTAAAAACATATTAAAAATTGTGAGGGGGCTGGGCACGGTGGCTCACACATATAATCCCAGCACTTTGGGATGTCGAGGTGGGCAGATCATGAGGTCAAGAAATCGAGACAATTCTGGCCAACATGGTGAAAGCCCGTCTCTACTAAAAATACAAACATTAGCTGGGCGTGGTCACACTTGCCTGTAGTCCCAGCTACTCAGGAGTCTGAGGCAGGAGAATCGGTTGAACCCGGGAGGCAGAGGTTGCAGTGCGCTGAGATCGCGCCACTGCACTCCAGCCTGGCGGCAGAGCAAGACTCCATCTCAAAAAAAAAAAAAAAAAAAAAAAAAATTGTGAGGAATTAAGTCCATGTAAAACTTGAGATAATGGGCCATGAGCTAAAATTGTCTTAAAATATAGGGCAATAAGCCAGTCATTGGAAGAAAACAGCAACATGACAACATGAGATTAGAGCTGGGGATTTTCGGGGAGGAGAAAGAAAGAACGGCCAGAAAATGAAATGAAGGAATAGTTAGTTAGTAGGCGTTCTACCTCCCTTTAAGCTCAGTGGTAATGAGAATTGTAGGGAGAACATGACCACCTCTGGAGAGATCTGCAGGGGAGGCAGTTTTTTCAGGTGGGAGGAACAAGAGTGTGCATCACAGTCTAGATGGATGTTGGGACCTAGATTAGCTTCCTGTGGCTGCCCACCCAGAGTCCACAAACTGAGTTGCTTTAAACAATGCAAATGGCGCTTGTTTCCACAGCACAAATGCTAAAATTGGAATGACACAAAGAAGATTAGCATGGCCCCTGCACATGGATGACATGCAAATTCATGAGGCATTTCAGATTTTAAAAGAATGCAAATGTATCCTCACAGTTCTGGAGGCAGGAAGTCTGAGATCAGGGTGTTGGTAGGGCCATGTGCTCTCTGAAGGCTGTAGAGGTAGATCATTGCTCACTTCTCTCCTCACTTCTGATGGTTTCCAGCTTCTTGCTGTCCTTGACTTGAAGATGCTTCTCTCCAGTCTTTGCCTCTGTTATCACATGACATTCTTCCTGTGTCTCTTCTCCTTTTCTAATAAGGACACTAGTCATATTCAACTTATGGCCCACTCTACTTCATTACGAACTCATCTTATCTTGATTATATCTGCAAAGATGTTGTTTCAAAATAAGGCCAATTCACAGGTACTGGGGCTAGGACTTGAACTTATCTTCTTTTGAGGAGTACAGTTCACTCCACAACAGGATTAGGAGTGAATTTCAAGCCCAGTAGGAACAGTCTCACAGTGAACAGAGAAAATCTTCCCAACTCTTCATTTCCTGTGTTACTGGTTTCAAGGTATCCATTTCTCCTGGTACTCTCTCATTCAACATATGAGCATCTCAGTGCCAAGAGCTGAAAGTGGCTCAGAGAAAAGAAAGTGCAAGGTGCTGCCCCCACAGACTCTGCCCAGGAGGTCTCATTCTTCTTCATGGACTTTGAGTGAGACCTGCTGCCTCTGGGACTCCCTGTCCCTGGAACCTCTCTTGTTCTTCCCTCATTGTGTATTTTCTACATTACCCACATTGTGTAACTCAACCTGTGTATTACTCCATTTCATACTGCTATAATAAACTGCCCAAGACTGGGCAATTTATAAAGGAAAGAGGTTTAATTGACTCACAGTTCTGCATGGCTGAGGAGGCCTCAGGAAACTTACTATCATGGCAGAAGGCAAAGGGAAAACGAGCACCTTCTTCACAAGGCAGCAGGAAGGAGAAATGCCGAGCAAAGAGGGAAGCGCCCCTTATAAAACCATCAGATCTTGTGAGAACTCACTCACTATCACAAGAATAGCACAGGGAAACACGCTTGATGATTCAATTACCTCCACCTGGTCTCCCCCTTGACACATGGGGATTATGGGTATTACAATTCAAGATGAGAATTGAGTGGGGGCATAAATCCTAACCATATTACCATGTAACTGACAAAGTGACCTTGTAAATGATATCTGCTTATTGGACACTTTTCTGCATACTAAGGATAAAAGACATTCAAAGCCCTGCCCTGGAGGAGCTTATGATCCAGTAGCACACACATAGCTTTTCTAACTTTTTCCCCTCTCCTAATTAGGTTCTCAATTCTGGAGGGCAGACCCTTTTATTATACATGAATTCTACCCATCCACCCATGTAGTGCCATAGTGAATAAATATTCAGTGATTATTTTAGAGTTATGGGCTGTGACCTGAAATCCATGAGTGGTCTGGTATCTTGTCAATCACACTAGTCTCCACTTCAGCCAAATATATGGGGACAGAAACTTTATTTCTATATTGAATACAGATTCCTGGTTGACTGGAAAATAATAGTTTTTAATCACAACAGATAAGAAAGTGGAAGAAGTAGGTATTTTTTCTTTTCTGAAAACCTGATAGATCTATACTTCAAAATCCTAAGGGAAAGATTATAGTTCCTGCACTGGTTTTCTGTGACTATTGTAAGAATTAATACAAACATGGTGGTTGAAAACAACAGAAATTTATTCTCTCACAATTCTCTAGAAAGCAGATGACACATGTGGTAATGCAAAACATTATGTAGCTGTTGAGCTTAGGTAGAAAATTAATCACACGGATGTTGCACATGATACTTTTAAAAGGAAGGAGGTAGATTTATGTGTATGTTATAATCGCTTTGGAACAAAAATAGCATAAATTATATGAATAAAAGTAGGAAAAAACATGGAAGGAATATGCATCAGCAGTTAATAAAAATCATTGCATTTAAAGATTATAAGAAGATTTTCAATGCTTAGTTTTATAATTATTTGAAAAATAAAGGCTTTAGAAAGACCATTTATTATTTGTATTTTTAGAAATAAAAATTTTAAATACCATTCTAAGAAAAAATGATATAACCAGCAACATATAATGGAATAAGAAAAGCAATGAGGAAGATGATTTGTAATTGATCTGCTTTTGATGAATTTTAGGATTTGAACACTAAATAAATTAGTTCACAAAATTTACTTGTGTGAACAAACTCAGAACAAAGAATGAGTGAACAAAATACCACAAATATGTGGTAATTTGAAAGTAAGAAACACTTATGTTCTAATTTTTAGTACTGAATACTTTATAAGGAACAAAATAAAATGTGCTATGTAAATTAGCAGGAAAGTTGAAACATGCATATATTCGAGTAGGCCTTGGATGACAGGTATGTATCTTACACATTTATTAAGTCTAGTTCAGATGTAGGTACATGGCAAAAATGCAAAAAATATTTATTGAATAAATGAGTGAAAAGTATAGGGGTTTTAATGGATGGAAATTCATTTTCAATAATTGTTCTTAGAAAGAGGAGTATCTCATATAACAACTAATTGATCTAGGAAAACTGTCAGCAAAATCCTGTCTGGGCCCTCATTTTTTAATAAAACACTGTAAAAATAACCTTCATCTGGGTGCCCCCACACTTCTTATTCTCAGCTCGGTATGCTGTCTCCTCCTGGGCTCCTGGGGGATTTTTAGCCACACTAGGGAGTGATCTGGTTTTGAGAAAGCCTGGAATCTGGCTTTCACTCCAGTGTTACTAACAGTTGTTTCTGGATTGTAGTGGTAAGGAGGCTTTATAAATCAGCTTATGTTCTTTATGCTAAGGCTCAGAGAAACACATATGCCATGGAGAGTTTTAATCACAGGAGAGATCCAATTACTCATGGAGTACAAAAGAGAAACCGCATTTGGAATTCTCTCTTTGATCATCCAGAAATGTGATTGTGAAGAAAATAGACTCAATACTCAACGAAATTTTGAATTAGTTGTATAGTCATTTTAAAATCAAAGCCCTTCTCTTCCCTTTTCTTAAAAGATTGAATTATTACTAGTACAGGTGTTTAAATCACAAGATGTTCTTGGTGCTTGTGGTGGTTAATACTGAGTGTCAACTTGATTGGATTGAAGGATCCAAAGTATTGATCCTGGGTATGCCTGCAAGGGTGTTGCCAAAGGAGATTAACATTTGAGTCAGTAGTCTGGGAAAGGCAGACCCATCCTTAATATGGGTGGACATCTTCTAATCAGCTGCCACCACAGACAGAATATAAAGCAGGCAGAAAAATGTGAAAAGACCAGACTGGCTTAGCCTCCCAGCATACATCTTTCTCCCATGCTGGATGCTTCCTGCCCTCGAACATTGGACTCCAAGTTCTTCAATTTTAGGACTCTGACTGGCTTTCCTTGCTCCTCAGTTTGCAGATGGACTATTGTGGGACCTTGTGATCATGTGAGTTAATACTTTGAACAAACTCCCATATGTGTGTGTATATATATATATATATATATATATATATATATATATATATATATGTATGTATGTGTATGTATCTCCTATTAATTCTGTCCCTCTAGAGAACTATGACTAATATAGTGCTCAAAATGCCAGCCATGTACAATTCTACTTCAGTAATCTACCTCTGTCCATCACTTAAATCTTGGTGTGTTCTTACTTTGTAACCATAGCTTCTTTGTTCTCCAATCTTTAGGTAAAACTTTAGTGATCCTATCAACTCCTGGAACTTTAACTACCAGCTTTTTGCAAAATAACACACTCAATCTCTCCATTTCAAATTTCTCCTAACTTCCAGATTTGCTGTATCCCACATACACTGTGTCCAAAGTGAACCCATTTCCATTTCCCAATTCTTTTATTTCCCTTACTGAATAAGATGAACAAGCACCCATCTTAGAGAACGACACTATTGCCCATCCAATTCCCCCAAAAGAAACATGTAATCAGCCTAAACCTTTCTCCTTCATAATCCTCTCTTCCCATGTTTATATTAAGGAGCATTTACAAATGTGAAATAAGAGCTCTCTTCACACCCTTTTCTGCTTTATCTACGCTGCTACTTTATTTCAGGGTCCAGCCATACATCAAGTTAGGGTACTGTTGTTGTCTCCAGTTCATTTCTTCTGCGCTCCCTGTGCATTCCAATGGAATCCCTTAAATTATTATCACATCTCCATTCTTGAGTCAGTAAATGGGTTGCCCAGCCTATCTACATACTTTCAAGTCTGGTTTCTTATCAAGATCTGGATTTCTTTGTGAGTCAGTGTCCTCCATTGTAAGAATACGTTTATGATATTAATTTCAAATTGTGATCTCATCTGTCTGTATGAAGGATACCTGTAACCTTGTATAGACATTGATTTAATTGGTCTTGGATGGACCACAGGTACTGTAGGTTTTTCAGCTCATAAGATGATTCCAATACACTACCAGTGTTTTTAGCTCATGAAGTAAAATACAGCAATTGCTATGGGTTGGGTCCCGTGTTAGTCAGCATTCTCTAGAAGGCCAGAACTAATAGGATAGTTCTATACATAAAGGGGAGTTTATTAAGGAGTATTGACTCACATGAACCCAAGGTGAGGCCCCACAATAGGCTGCCTGCAAGCTGAGGAACACGGAAGCCAGTCTGAGTCCCAAAACTGCAGAACTTCGTGTCTGATGTTCGAGGGAAGAAAGCATCTAGCATGAGAGAAAGATGTAGGCCAGAAGACTAAACCAGTCTAATCATTCCATGTTCTTCTGCCTGATTTTATTTTGGCTGCACTGGCAGCTGATTAGATGGTGTCCACTCAGATTGAAGGTGGGTCTGCCTTCTGGCCCACTGACTCAAAGGTTAATCTCCTTTGGCAACACCTTCACAGACACACCCAGGAAAAATACTTTGCATCCTTCAATTCAATCAAGTTGACACTCATTATTAACCATCACAGGTCCTTAACTCAAATATCTATCCATATCCTTTCCTTAAACTATTTTGTCTTTTTCACCCTCAGTATGTCTTCACTTTGGGGTGAGAGAAGTTTCATAAACTGAGCCTAGAATCCATCAGCATCAGCTGCCACCTTCTTTGGTTTCCTCAGAAGCCTCTAAGCATCTCTGTCTCTGCAATCAGTCAACCAATCAAGCTAGTAAGCAAGGAAGCCATCAGAATTGAGGTTCTGTGACCCTACACATGCCGCAACAAACACATCTCTGGTAGATGAAGAGTTCTCTTCATTTGAAGGAGGACAAGACTCTTGCTTTGATGCTTTCTCAGATGCCATTCTGAATAAATCTGAACAGATTTTTGATGATCTGTGAGAACAGCTGTCCAATGACTAAAAGGGACTCCAACCCCGAAAGCCAGAAATGAAGATGGGATCTGAAAGCACTGAGTGGTATTTTCTAGAAGAATGGCTAAGTCAGACCTTAAAACATATATTAAGAGATTTATAAAAACAATAATAATAACATAGAAAATGATAGTTTTCTGGCAGTTTAAGATCAAAACCTATTTGTAGAGTTTAATAACAACTCCTTAAGGGGCCCTTTGATGTCTTCAGAGTGCTCTCAACATCGAACTACTGAACAATATGGTCTAAAGTTATGTTTGTTTTTCACGGTCCTTGTCACTATTTGCACTCATTTGTTATTTATTTGATGTAGATTTGTATAATGTCTTTCTCATCTGGCAGATTTGCCTGCCTGGGGTCTGTTCTGTTCCTCCCTGTGTGCTCAATGCTAGAAGGAGATTCTGGTTGAATCCAGACCCTCATGTTGTGTTTAAGAAGACAAGACGGCACCACAGAACCATATTTTCCCCTACTCTTAGACAAAAGCTAGTCTTTTATAGGAAAAATGAAAACAACAACAACAACAACAAAAGCCTGTATTAGGCCATTCTTGCAATGCCATAAAGAAATCCTGAAACTGGGTAATTTTTAAAGAAAAGAGGTTTCGTTGGCTCACAGTTCTGCAGATTGTACAGGAAGCATAAAGGCATCTGCTTAGCTTCTGGGGAGGCTTCAGGAAACTTAAAATCATGGCGGAAGGCAAAGCAGGAACAGGCACATCACATGACAAAAGCAGGAGCAAGAGAATCAGGGGGAGGTGCAACATATCTGAAAAGAATTCACTCACTACAGTGAGTATAGTACCAAGGGGGATGGTACTAAATCATTCGTGAGAAACTGCCCCCATGACGTAATTACCTCTCACCAGGCCTCACCTCCAATTTTGGCGATTACATTTCAATATGAGATTTGGGTGGGGACACTAATCCAAATTATGTCATTCTGCCCTAGGCCCCTTCCAAATCTCATGTTCTTCTCACATTTCAAACTACAACCATGCCTTCCCAATAATTCCCAAAGTCTTAACTCATTCTAGCATTAACTTAAAAGCCTAAAGTCCAGAGTCTCATATAAGACAAGGCTAGTCCCTTCTGCTTTTGAGCCCATGAAATAAGAAATATGTTAGTTGCTTCCAAGATACAGTGGGTATATATGCATTGGGTAAGTACCCCCATTTCAACAGGGAGAAAGCCAAAAAAACAGGGGCTACAGGGTCCATGCAAGTTCAAAACCCAGCAGGGCAGACATTATATCCTGAAGCTCCAAAATAATCTCCTATGACTCCATGTCCCAAATGCAGGATACACTGGTGCAAGGGGCAGGCTCCCAAGGCCTTGAGTAATTCCACCCCTGTGGTTTTGCAGGGTTCAGCCCACAAAGCTGCTATCGCAGGCTGACACTGAGTGCATGTGACTTTTCTACGTGCAGGGTGCAAGCTGTTGGTGGATCTACTATTCTGGGGTCTGGTGGATAGTGGCCCTCTTCTCACAGTTTTACTAGGAAGTGCCCCAGTGGAGAATCTCCATGGGAGCCCCAACCCCACATTTTCCTTATGCACTGCTATAGTAGAGAGTCTCTATGAGGGCTTCACCTCTGCAGGGGGCTATTGCCAGGACATCCAGGCTTTTCTGTAAATCTTCTGAAATCAAGACAGAGTCTCACAAGCCTTAATTCTTGCATTCTGTGCACCTGCAGGTTTAATATTACATGGAAGCCAAGGCTTAAGGCTTGTGCTCTCCAAAGCAGCAGTGATATGGTTTGACTGTGTCCACACCCAAATCTCATCTTGAATTTTAGCTGCCATAACTCCCATGTGTTGTAGAAGGAACCCAGTGGGAGATAATTGAATCATGGGGACGGTTTCCCCCATACTGTTCTCGTGGTAGTGAATAAGTCTCATGAAATCTGATGATTAGATAAGGGATTTCCCCTTCCACTTGGTTCTCATTCTTTCTTTCAGCCACAATGTGAGATGTGCCTTTCACCTTCTGTCATGAATGTGAGGCCTCCCCAGCCACATAAAACTATGAGTCCATTAAACCTCTTTTTCTTTATGAATTACCCAGTCTCAGGTATGTCTTTATCAGCAGCATGAAAATGGATTAATACAAGTAGCCTGGGCTATACCTGGGCCCCTTCAATCCACAGCTGGAGCTGAAACAACTGGATACAGGGAAAAGTGTCCTGAGGCTGCACAGGGCACTGGGCCCTGGGCCTGACCCATGAAACTATTTAGTCCTCATAAGCCTCCGGGCCTGTGATGGAAGGGGCTGACATAAAGGATTCTGAATACTTCCCAGGCCTTGTCTTCATTGCCTTTGCTATTAGCACTTGGCTCCTTTTTACTTATGCAAATTTCTGCAGGCTGCTTGAATTCCTCCCCTTAAAATGGGCTTTCCAGGCTACAAAGTTTTCAAACTTGTACTCTCTGTTTCCCTTTTAAATATAAGTTCCAGCTTAAAGTCATTTATTTGCTCTCATATCTGAATACAACTTGCTAAGAGTGGCCAGGTCACTTCTTGTACATTTTTCTGCTTTTAAATTTCTTCCACTATATACCGTAAATCATCACTTTTGAGTTAAAAGTTTCACAGATTCCTAGAGCAGGGGCATAATGCAGCCATGTTCTTTGCTAAGGCATAACAAAATGATCTTTTCTCCAGTTCCCAGTAAGTTTCTCATTTCCATCTGAGACCTCATCAGCTTAACCCTTACTGTCTATACCACTATCAGCATTTTGGTCACAACAATTTAACCAATCTCTAGGAAGTTCCAAACTTTCCCTCAACTTCCTGTCTTCTTCTGAGCCTCCCAGACTCCTCCAACCTCTGCCAGTTACCAATTCCAATGCTGTTTTCACATTTTCAGGTATCTTTATAACAATGATCCACTCCTTGGTACCAATTTTCGGTATTAAGCAGTTCTGGCATTGCTATAAAGGAATACTTGAGACTGGGTAATTTATAAAGAAAAGAGGTTTCATAGGTTAATGGTTCTGCAGGCTGTACAGGAAGCATAGCAACATCTACAACACCTTCTGGGGAGGCCTCAGAAAATTTACAATCATAACAGAAGGCAAAGAGGAAGCAGGCTCATCACTTGGTAAAAGCAGGAGCAAGTAAACAAGGGAGGAGATGCTACACACTTTCAAAAGACCAGATGTTAACAAGAACTTGCTATTGCACAGACAGTACAAAGATGACAGTGCTGAACCATGTATGACAAATTGTTCCTATAATCTAATCACCTCCCACCAGACACTCCCCCTTCCACCAAAACTGGGGATTACAATAGAACATGAGATTTGGGCAGGGGCACATATCCATATCCAAACTATATCAGAATCCCTGGGTCTTCTGCCTCAAAGCATGGTGTTTAAATTTTACTTTCTACATGTTTCCATATAATAGAAGATACATGTGCTCTTTCTGGAAGCCATTCAGTTTGAATTCATGCTTTCAAAATTTATGTTTTGCTGACAAGAGCCACAACTTTAAAGGGAAGCATATTCCTAAAATCCATTCAAATGGGAGCAGATTCCAAAAGCCCATTCTCTGGTTCTTCTGAATTGTGAGCTTTATCTATTATACAGTGGTTATTGTCACTTGTAGCAAAACTGATGGTGCCTCAGGCCACAAGATTGTGTGTATGTTTGCAAGGCCACACACTCCAACATCCCTGATATTTACTCTGGACAACACAGCTGCTTGCATTGCTGAGTTGCACTTATTCAATATTCAAGGACTGTTCCTTCCAAGAATAAGTAATTCTTATCTAAAACTGAAAGAAGCAAATATTTATTTAAAAATTATTTACAGAACAAAATAATTCAGATCCTGATAAGAAGGTCCAGAATGAAACTGTATAGATGACATCTTTTACAACAAGTTTCCCATTTTGTATCTTTATGCTCCATCTCAGATTGACGTAGTTTATCCTGAGTGAACCCATCTAAAACCCTGAATGATGGAATGGACAAGATGTGAACATTTGAGTGTCTAATTTCATTTCATTGACTAATTCAGGAATTCCTACATGTTGAACATTAGCAACTGAAAACTCTCAGATGAAGAGTGTAGAGTTGGTGTCACCAACAGAACTAAGCTCCCAAGTATTTCTGTGTGATGACAGTGGTTAAAAGCAACTAGATTGTTAAAATAAAAATTATTCAATGAAAACATAACATAAATGTTCCAACTTGGCCAGGCATGGTGGCTCACACCTGTAATCCCAGCACTTTGGGAGGCCAATGTGGGCAGATCACAAGGTCAGGAGTTCGAGACCAGCCTGGCCAACATGGTGAAACCCCGTCTCTACTAAAAATACAAAAATTTGCTGGACGTGCTGATGGGTGCCTGTAATCCCAGCTACTAGGGAGGCTGAGGCAGGAGAATTGCTTGAACCTGGGAGGCGGAGGTTGCAGTGAGCTTAGATCAAGCCACTGCCCTCCAGCCTGGATGACAGAACAAGACTCTATCTCGAATAAAATAAATTAATAATTAATTAAAAATTAAAATTATGAAAATGATTACCTCGATATAAAAATGATGAGACTATGAATAAATATCAAATATCTTAAAACTGTGCATTTCAGTCAATGAACACTTTCACCTGCTATATATTAAGTTCTCAATTATGATGTCACATCTCAAAATGTTAAACCATGGCCTTTTGAAAGACTTTTAATTTGCAAATGATTTTCACACACGTGAATCCTGATTTAAACAAAGTCAAATTGCATGATAGAAATCTATTCAAGCACACTAAAGTTTCATCAGAGAGATTATCATCAGAGAGATCCTTGTGCATACGTTAAGAAATGGTTCTGCACTGATGAAATCTTTAAAATGAGCTTTAAAACTTCTTACTCAGAGAAAGATATTTACCTTTCTACATTTCTTCATGTAGAAACAAAAACTTGATAGATAGGTCAAATCTGATTGCATCACATTTTGACAATGGAAAGCCTCTGTTATAAAGGAAAATCTATCCTCTGTTTCCACTACAGAGTAGTGTCACAACATCGATTCTGCTCCTCAATGTGATAATTCAATCATAGATACCCTTTGGTCAGAATACAAGACAAGAATGTCAGGAAAGCTCTTTCAAAATAAGTTTTGTGTATTTTAACATTTACCAAACATCATTAGTAGAAATGGAAAAAGCAGGGGAAGTATCTTAGAAAATCCTTACACCCTCTCTCCAAATAAAAAGCATGTATTAAGGCTTCAAAATACTATTTGAGGCATCACAAGAGCTGATAGTTATATAGAAATTTGTCTTTTCAAACACAATTTTTATAATCATTGTCCCATCACATCCAACCAAGAATAAAGGCTTTTCTTTCTGTCAGTTTCATTTCCTTGCTTTGGGAAATCGGGAACAGTGAGAACCACCCTGGAGATTGTGGTCAGAGCAGCTGGAGTAACAGGGAGAACCTGTTTGTGCAGGAAGGACCCAGGAAGGGGCATCTACAATGCACACAGCCACCAAGTCCTCAGTCTCTGTGGGAGCAAGGGGTATTCTAATCTTGGAGAGAATGGCTTCAATCTCTAAAAGGAAATATAGAGATTAAAAATATCTGGCATATTAATATCATGGATATCAGCCTTTTAAAAAGACAGGAAATTATATGCTACAACATGGATGAACCTTGAGGACACTATCCTAAGTAAAACGAGCCAGTCACAAAAAGGAAAAGTAGTGCAACATTCTACTTCTACTTATATGAGGTACCTAGGCTCATCAAGTGTACAGAGGCAGAAAGGAGAATGTTGGCTCTGAGGGCGCTGGGGGTGCTGAGGGGAATGGGGACATGTGTTTAATGCACCCAAAGTTTCAGTCTGGGAAGATGAAACCGTTCTGGAGGGGGATGGTAAATGTACTTTATTTCATTAAACTCTTCACCTAAAAATGGTTAAAATGGTAAATTTTATGTTAAGCATATTGTATTTATCAGGGTTCTCTAGAAGGACAGAACTAATAGGATATATGTATTTATGAAGGGGAGTATATTAAGGAGATTTTACTAACATGGTCACAAGGTAAAGTCCCAAGGCAGGCTGTCTGCAAGCTGAGGAGCAAGGAAGCCAGTAGTGGCTCAGTCTGAGTCCCAAAACCTCAAAAGTTGGGAAGCCAACAGTGCAGCCTCCAGTCTGTGGCTGAGGGCAGGAGAGTCCCTGGCAAACCACTGGTGTTAAGTCCAAGAGTCCAAAGGCCAAGAACTCAGAATCTGATGTTCAAGGGCAGGAAGCATCCAGCATGGGAGAAAGATGAAAGCCAGAAGACAAAGCAAGTCAGCTTCTTCCACCTTCTTCTGCCTGCTTTCTCTAGCTGCGCTGGCAGCCGATTGGATGGTGCCCACCTATATTGTGGGTGAGTCTCTCCCAGTACACTGACTCAAATGTTAATCTCTTCTGGCAACACCCAGAAACACCCAGAAATGCCCAGAAACAATATTTTGCATCCTTCAATCCAATCAAGTTGACACTTAAAATTAATCATCACACATATTTTACCAGAATAAAAATAAAGACACCACAGGGTAAAGCAGCAGTTCCTCATGGTATGCTTCTTCATGACACAGGGACATCACCTGGGAATTCATGAAACAAATACAATATTGTAAACCTCAAACCAGACCCACCTAATCAGAAACTCTAGGGGAAACCCTAGCAACCTCTGACCAGCTCTCCAGGTGATTCTGATGCACACTTCCATCTGAGAACTCTTGTGTAGGGGCCAAGAGCATGAAATCAATTCCACCTTGCTTCTCATGCTAGCTGTGTACTGTGCCAGTTATGTGCCTTAGAGCAAGTGTTTAACCACCCTGTAATTCAGTTTCCCCATCTGTAAAATGGAGATACTGATATTGCTTTGAGATAATTAATTGAAAACTGTATCTATCATCGTAGTAATCTGTCACTAAACATTTGGTCTTATTAGCAGCTAAGAAAAATTTACCTCAATTATTTGGCATCTTCCCTTATCTGCCTCATACCACAAATTCTACCAATAAAATGACTGTAGACTTCAGAAGCCTTGCACACCTGTTTCCAACTGTCAGTAGAACTGGGAGCAGGGGTAATGAATTTAATTTAAAACCCATAATATGAAAGTTTAATTTATATGCAAGGCACTGAAATGTAGATTTATATAGGCTCAGAAGTCACTAAAAATTTCTCTTCTGGCCGTAGAGGGCTCTAGTCTCATGGGTGGGATCTCAAAAGTCTATTCGGTGACAAAAATTCTCTCAGACAGCTCACAGCATTCTAAGCAATTTTAAGGTGAAGATAAGCCTTCATTTTTAGGTACACACAATTTCATTAGCATCTTAGAACCTCAGGAACAGTAACAATAAAATATTTCATGCAGATCTTATCACACTTAAAATGAAGGGAGAATGTGAACAGTGTCCCTGGAGACAACGATAGTTCCCAGTTCAACTACCCTAGAGTTCTGCTAGCAGAACCAATCAGGGTTGGAAGCTAGCTGTATCTCTCTCTTTATTTAAAATGCAAACAAACTGGATTTCTCCACTGTGTCAATTTACATTAACACGTCGACACTGCCTTCCCACACCCAGGAAGTTTGGGACATGGGCACAAAGTAAATTCATTCCTATCTTTTGGATTTATCAAGGATTTCTGAAGTTACATGAGTATGTGTATTCTAAACGGATCTCAATTTCTTATGCAGGTGCATTTGGGTCTGTTTTTGCCTAATATATCTTAACTTTTAAGGAACAAATATCAATATTTAAAACATATGAAATTCCAGGAAACCTGATAGAGAAAATATCACAGATGGCTCCAGACTGAAGCCCTGTACAAGTGGAAAGGAGAGGTACCCTTTGGGTTCAGACATTGATCTGCTTACCAAAATAATACATCTGTCAGGGCTCAGTGGGGTCCAAACTGTAAAACGCTATGGATTCTCCCTTCCATACTGCCTGGGAGCTGGTACTATGACTGTTAACACTTTAGGTAAAAAGACACAGAGGGGCAGAAAGGCTAAGTAACTTGCTTAAGGTCAGAATTATTAAGTGATAGAATAACAATTGGCACTCAGAATCCCGACAAGTATTTTCCACCCTTTCTACTCCCAGCATCAGTATCTCCTGGGAAGTTGCTAGAAGTTGCAGAGTGCATCCCCTACCCTAGTGCTATGCAACTGAAACCGCATTTTAACAAGTTCCTGAAGCTTTTCTCCTCATTTTAATGTTTGGGGGGCATTGCTTTACCTTTAAGCTATTCAGCCACAGTACCATAGTGCCTAAAATTTCATATCATATCCTGTTTTGAATTACGGTAAATAATACCTGCTAAATAAAGGGAAACAGTGTATCTGATAAAAACCCAGTCCCAGCCTGATAGCTAGAGAGTGGAGAGGGTAAGTTCCAGCATTTGGATCCTGCAGCCGATATTTTCCAGAAGTGATTCCTACATCAGTGTGTAAAGGTAGCAGGTTTGCAGAGGATAAGACTCAAACCCGAGTTGTTGTGCAGGCCCCAGAAGAAGGAACTATGGAAACTTGCAGATGGTCATGAGATGCCATCTGATGGCTGAGGAGGTGGGAAAGAAAGCAGAGACACATAGGCTGTTGATGACAAAGGATGCCTAGAAAAATACTGTTTGATCAACCACCACTCCATGCACTTTCTCACCCCCAAACCCACATTTTACAGGAGAATAAACAGATGGATAATGTCTTCCCAGGTTACACAGCCAAACACTGGACAAGCCAGCAGATAACTCAAGGCTGTGACCACCATTCCAGTCCTGTTTCCTTGGTCACTAGGATCCCCTGAATGCTTTGAGATTCAAGTAACATTCATTTCAAAAGAATAAAAGGGAAGGATCAGAATGATGAACGTTCTCCTCAAATTCTACTTTCTCTCTAGAAATCAAAATAAAGTTAAAAGTAGAATCTCAAGAGGGCCTTTTGCAATCACACAATTCCACTGTCCACAAAACAAATCATTTGAAATCAGCAAAAGGTGCTAGGATCCATATAACCATATGATTGTGCTATGCTATGATCAGGCAACTAAAAACCAGTGGAAAGAGACAAAGAAACTTACTGGATTCTTCAGAGAGTAATATAATTTACAAATGGACTACAGAATATGCACTGTGTTAGCCAAAGACTCAGAATCATGCAAATGTGGACAAATTGAAGGGTGTTTGGGAAATTTGCATGAGGGCATTTGAGTGGGACTAGGAGGATGCAGCAGAAAGGAAGCTGGGTGCAGAGTCTGAGGATTGTGTATTAGTTCATTTTCACACTGCTGTGAAGAAACACCCAAGACTAGGTAATTTATAAAGGAAAGAGGTTTAATTGACTTACAGTTCTGATGGCTGGGAAGGCCTCAGGAAGCTTAGAGTCATGGCGGAAGGCAAACTGTAAGCAAGGACTTTCTTCACATGGTGGCAGGAAAGAGACAGAAGAGAACAGGAGAAACCACCACTTATAAAACCACCAGACCTCATGAGAACTCACTCACTTTCATAAGAACAGCATGGGGGTCACCACCCCCATGATCCAATCATCTCCTGCCAGGTCCCTCCCTTGACAGGTGGGTATTGCAGTTAGAGATGAGATTCGGGTGGGGACACAGAGCCAAACGATTTCAGGCAAGTTCTGACAGTCAGTCCCCATGTGGCCCTATTACCTTATTCAAACGCTTTGTGACCTCTGGGCCATATTTCTCTCATCTTAAGACAAAGAAACAACATATGCTCTAGTTCTGCACAAAAATGTTATGAAAATTAAAATGAGATTACTAGAAAACACCTCATAAGCTCTAATTTCTCTGTACTTTGATTCATTGTTTTTTGAATGAGGAAAGAAGTGAATGGAATGAAGCAATGCTAAGGCATCTTGATCCTCGTCATTGAGAGATGAAAGTGGTTAGAGAGAGAAGTTACTGCATACTCAAGACATTCTCATCATTTCCTTATTCTGCTTTTGCTCACCGCATATTAATCAGGTTTGCTTATTGCCAGTTAAGATTAGAAACTGCTGAGGGAAAGTTTTTTAGAGTGCCTTGGTCCTCATTGCCCAAAGAGTACCCTGGGATATGTTAATGGCCAGATATTTTGGTAAAGAAAATAGAACTTGGACAGATCATGCCATTTGAAAGAGAGGAACTGAACAGTGGAGTCACTGACATTCTCCCCAGTTATTCTTAGGTTTCATTCTCTGTCCCTTTAGCCAGAAGCCCATAGGAAGAAAAATCCATTCAACTGGTTTCTCAGGAATGCCTGTGGCACAGCGGTCAGGTGTGCGACTCCTCCAAGCCTTTCCCACCTACCCTCAGGAGGACAAGTTTTAGTTTTCAGAAGCTGTTGAGAAACCACAAAGCTCCCATGGGTGGTGGTGCTGCTGTGGGGACCTGCTGCTTCTCTAGGACCATAATATCCAACATTTCTAAAAAGAAATTGCCAATAAGAAATGCCAAGAGAGAAGAGGATGAGAAAAGGAAGGGTCTTTGAGTAGAAGTCCATAATTGGACTTGGATCACTAAACACAAATAAGATCTGACCAAGGAACTTGGGAGTCCCAGGAGCAACTGTGTGTTTCTGGCAGGGTCACCCACAGTTACGCCTCTAATCTGCCTTTGCAGCCAGTGAGAGCCAGTAGGTGCGGCTGCTGCTCCCACAGCAAGATTCCTGTTGCCCAGAGGAGGGACCAGCGGCCAGCCTGAGCCATCCCCTACAATGCAGGCTTGGAAGAGTCTCTTGCAAAACACTTTTCCCAAGTTTTGTTTTCCTACTTTTCAATGTCAGATATCTGAAGAAAGATTAAGTGTAGAATGACTTCTAATGTTTCTAGGATCCTAAAGCAAATCTTTCTTTTAAGGTTTTCAATGACCAAATTAATTAATAACAAATACATTGCATCTTCCTTGGGTTTCAATAATGGTTAGAAAAATAAATTTGGTTTGGTGACCACTATAATTTGTTTTCTGAATTGCAAACAACTTAGGAATGTTTTGGATATTTTAAACTTACCAAACTAATTGAACTGACTACTCCTTTTATAGAATGAGTGGACTTCAGGAGGGTTTCTTAGAGGCTTATCTTTTTAAGTACTGTGCACCTCACCTTCCTTAAGAAGAATATATACTTCTTCTCTGAGGAGTATGCAATACTTATGAAAGAGATTGTACTGGTAACAAACTCACAGGAAGAAATAGGGCCTTGAGGTAAAAAGCATTCCTATCAAGCATGATCAGAGTGTCTTTGCTTAAATGTTATTTGGAATTCAAAGTCATAACCCATCACTACCAAGACAAGTCTGTACTGTGTGACACACAGTGATACTGATAAATTGATTTATTCTGAGTGGGGGCTATCTAATAAGACCAAAGTCAGTCCTGATTTGACCAAAGGCATGTCGTATCTAACATATAATAAAAACAAAACAAAACAAAGAACTCAACTCCAAATCCTGGTTGTTTCCCCCACTAAAATTGCCAGCAGCCTCTCTGCAGACCTGGGCAAGTCACTGAATCCCTCTCAGACTTAATTCCCCCTTAACAAATGAAAAAACAACAACAATATACATTGCTATAATCCCTCATTTAAAAAAAGAAAATAAACAGTTGTCTTTAAGTTTTTAAACTCTAAAGTATTATAATTCTCTAAGTTCATTGAGAGAAAGCTAAAAGTTGCCAACCGTTTTCTCTGTTTCAGCTAAGAGTGTATTTCCTTGGAAATGACCTTGAAATCTGATAAAACACCTAAACCTCAGGTCCAAGTAAATAACTTTAACCTACTCTATGCTTTCATAGTTTCCTTGGTTGAGAAAACTAAAAACCGCCCCAAGTCTAGACATGTCTAACACAAGAATGTTCAGAGCGTTCAGATAAGAGGTAAGATGAATCTGCATGTTTGATGTGGGGAGATGATCATGTGTCAGAACACAAGCACCGATCCAGATGACAGTTTAATGAGGTTATGTGGATAATTATATTATAGATTAGTGCCCTGACATGAAATGACCTCTTTTTGGCAAAATTCAAGTTTGCCATAGGATTCAAGCAGCTATTTATATCAGGAGACCTTAGTAGAATGCTATCTCTTGTCTAAGTTTAAAAACTATGGAAAAAAATTACACAGTCAAAATTGTTGAAAAAATTTATACAAATGTGAAATTTATATAAAATTAGCCAAGTTAATTGAAATCACAGCAGATAAAGGTTAATGTACTTATTATATAAAGAGCTAGTGCAATTCTAATTGAAAACCACTAAAGCCTCAATAAATGAGCAAAGCCTATGAATAGATAATTTTAAGAAGCATGACTGGCTAAATCACATGCTCACACACTAGAAATCAGAGAACCGCATTTTTGATTACCAAATCACAACACACTGATCCACATAATCACACACACATACACACATACACATACACACACATACACTCATACACATACACACATACACATACACACATACTCATACACATACACACAGATACAACACACACTCATACACATACACACAAACACACACACATACACACACATACACACTCATACACATACACACAGGTACACACACATCCACACATCCACACACACATACACACATGCACACACATACACACATACACATACATACACAGATACACATACACACATACACACACTCATACACATACAGACACACACATACGCACACACATACACACAAGCACACACACACACAGATACACACATACACATACACACACACACATACATACACACACACATACAGACACACCCCAACACATGATGAAAGTTCAATCCAATAGAATGAACCCACCCATTCACTGTTGGTAGAAGGTGCAAAACTGGTTAGCGTTTTAATAGCAATGTACTGAAAAGTTTCAGCTACACAATAAATATGATTATGAATTGAATTAATAACTTTCTCATAGAAAAATATCACACTATTAATAGTGGTATCTGAGTTTTGTAGCACTGTATATCATTCAAGAAAGTTATCTTTTTATATTTTTTAATTTTTCTATACTTTAAATGATAAGAGAAATAATTATGTTTAAGAAAATGCTAACTTCTTCACACACTGCCTACGCATGATGCTTCTGTGTTAGTCCTACCCAGCTGATATGGTCTATGTAAAGTTCATTCCCAAAGTACATTTTTTTAAAGTAAAAGGGTGTCACAGAATTAAAGTGCTACTTTGATGTCGAAATAGATTACTGCATTGGAAAGAGATTTTATATTAATACATAATAATGAGTCCTGGAGAAAGAAAAGAGTTTCCTCTAAAACATCTTCCAAACATTATGTAAAATAATTCAGTAAGACTAAGGTTTGCATCACTGCAATGACGCCTTACAATATCTACTTGAGGTTTGCGTGAATTTTAAATGATTTGCTCCATCTCGCTGTTTGGAAGCAAGCAGGCATGTGGAGTCTCGGATTTCATGTAACAGAGACCTGGTTCAGAGGAAAAGCTTTACAAAGACCTGACTGTACTGGTCCTGTTCTCTCCAGCCTCTGAGCAGATGTACCATCAAAGCTCCTCCGCAAGTGTGTGGTACAAACACTCAGAGAGTCTCTGAATTTTCCCATAGTAGTAAGCCTAGTGGGAACCACAACCCCGTTCCAAATTATCTGTGTATTAAAGAATTTCTCTCCATCTTAAATACTTCCTCTGAATCTTTTCAAGCTCCGTTCTAATGATGAAGAGGCCGCAGCCCACACCGCATGCACTTTGGAAAACCGCATCCTTTGGTCTTTAGTGATTCGGGGAAACTTCCGGCTTCACAGATTTTTTTTTCTCTGTTGTCTCGATTTTTTGATTTCTTATCCTTTGATTTTAGTCTGAACTCAAAGCCTTTAAAATACATTTTAAAACACAAATAACTGTCTACTTTGGAGCAAATTAAAGACAAGCTACACCCAAGGTCCTCCAAGATGCAAGCATCGCCGCTTCACAGAACTCCCGGTTTTATGGTTGATTTCCTTTCTTCATTTGCCAAGGATTGACAGGCAATGGAATTTAAAATGCAGAGCCATATGACAGCTGCAGTACAATGCTCAGTGCGAAGATAAAAGCCAGTGTTTCGAAATCAGGAGGCCGATTCCCAGGCTGCACCCGGAGCTTGCTCGCCACGCCTGCACATTAATGGGAGGTCGCAGGAGCCCGCCTGGTGGGGCAGACGTATGTTCTGCGGTGCTTTTAAACGTGGCGGCAGAACACCTGTGCAGGAGATGCACAAAGATAAACTCGTCCATCTTTTATGCATCCATAAAAACATGACAGATTGTGGGCCACAGAGCCACATGTCGTGGGGTCTTTTTAATTCAACAGTAATCCTGTTCTTGTTATAATTTCACCCATTTAAAAAGAAGCTAGGCCACAGAAAACCTTGTCTTCTCAAACAGATTTTCTTTGGAAACATTCTACTTATAAGAAACTGACATCTACTTATAACCGGCATGGTTTAATTGCTTTAAATAAACTTAGCCTGTCTTTTAAGATAAAAGAAAACAAAGTTGGCTAGACTTTCCTACTTCCAGTCAGAGCTCATGTATACATGGGCCCTGAGGCATCCATTCCGCATGAAATGTGTAAGGTCTGGGTGACAATAAGATGGATTCCAATATTTCCCTGTAGGTAATTATAGCTGACTTCATCAGCATCTTTTCCCCCTCCTTTTGAGAATTAAGAAAGTGTATGTGTTAATTTCATACTTTCTGCATAAGTTGCTTTGATAGCAATCTTGTGGCCATGTGGATCTTTACAAATTAGTATTTGTTTCAAACAGTCCAAGCAGCCCATCCCTTCTTACTTAATTAAGTCAGTTTTCCCAAGAAATGTCCTCCAAGTTTGAAAAACCTACAGTTGAATATGGGCAGTAATTCATTTATGAACATTCTGTCCAATTAGCAAAAAATGTATGAAACCAAGACTTTCTTTCCCTCGGATTTTCAAAGTAAGCCATCCATTAATTGTGTTGTGTTTGCAGCCTCTATAAACTGCAGTATGCAAATGTCGCTCCTGCACATCCAGCTCTGTCCTTATTGGTGCTTCTGGCTTCATTTTGTGAAGAAGAGAACAAAGCTGGCTTATAACAAGGCCACTTATCTTTAATCATGTCCAACTGAGAGAGAGAGAGAGAGAGAGAAAGAAGCCTATATCTAAAGCCAGGAGGAAATCACCATTTAAGTCACAGGCATACGGTAGAAAGGTAAATATTCCTAGAATCATTATTATTGCAAATATTGTCCATTACAATTACTTTATGTGTTCTTATGTGTGAAAAATTGGTCATCTCTGTAGCTATTCCTGCTTAAAACAAAATAGTGACACCCAGTAGCAAGCAGGTTAGTAAGCACAGATTGGGGAGAAGGCATAGATGGCTCAGCTAGTGTGGACTGGCTTGGCTTCTCGTCCCAGTTGTTATGCATTAGGCAGCATACCAGATTATACAAAACCAAAAACAAATCAGCATGATTTGATTCTTTCTCATAAAAGCCTTCCCGCTGTTTTTTTTTCTATTGACCAAAATTATTCACAGCTATGTGAACCTATACACATTGAAAAGTCATTTTGGCATTTGGTAAACATTCTGGAAACACGCACATTTGTAACTATGGCAGCCACCACCTGTATTTGCTGAAGTGCCAGGAATATACATGTTCAGGTGCCATTATGTATATATATATATATATATATATATATACACACACACACACACACACACACTCAGTGTATATACACTCAAATATATATATAATAGGGGCCTCAGTATATATATATTTAGTGGACTACTGGACTACTATATATATTTATATAAATATATTTAGTGGACTACTGGACTACTATATATATATACTCATATAAATATAATAGGGGCCTCAGTATATATATATACTGATATATATATGTGTATATATATATACACATATACTGGGTGTGTGTATATATATATACATATATACATATATACCCGGTATATATATATATATACACCCAGTATATATATATATATATATATGTACACTCAGTATATATATATATATATATATATATATATATATATATATATATATATACACTGAGGCCCCTATTATATTTAGTGGACTACTGGACTACCATGGTATGCTCTAATAGCAATACAGTAAAATGATCATTCTACATGGGAAAATCATAGGTTTATGTATGCATTGATAAACTCCTGATGCCAACAAAAAATAAATTGCTAGCTATAAATTATTAGTTAATGTAAGTCAGTGTGCCTAAAAACCGTGTTAGGCACACTGACTTACATTAACCATATCAAACTCAGGATACATTATTTTATGGCACTGGGCTAACAATTATACAATAGTAGCTTTATTTTACTGAGGACAATTTTTTCAAATTTACTTTTCTTTGTATATAATTTTTGGTTAACACTGTCTTTAGAAAACAGAACTATGAAGTGGTTTCTGGTTATCTCTTCTTTCAGATTAGTTTTGATTGATTCATGACACTTAACAAAAATATCTGTTTATTCATCCATATGATAAAAACTAATGCTTTTCAGGTGCAGCAGATTTTAAAAGAAGACTAAATAATTTTACATATTGGCACATTGCAGCTCTGGGACTGGCAGAACCTCATTGGCCCTGGCCCCAGCTCCAAACTTATGAAACCCACAGGCTGCTCTCAGCCAGTGACTGAGTGTAGCAGATGTAAGGTTGGCTTGTCCCTGGGGGATGCAGGGCTCTTTTGGCTCCTGGAGTCTCTGAAGCCCTGGCCAAACTTTCCTTAGAACTGCACTGAGGTCTCAGGGCTTCCACAGAACCTTCCCTCTGGCCCTCTGGCCTTCGCACAAGCTCAGATGTGCATTGCGGTTAAATGGCTCTTCCAGCCTCTCCAACTCCCTCCCCACGTTTTCCCACAGGCATTTGCCCTGAGGAATATCATGCTGACTTCTGCCTTGCTCTCCCTTCTCAGTAATCACACTAGTACAAATCTCAACATTCTCTTTCATGCATTTTTATTAAGACATGTTTGTAATAGATCTCTTTCTAGGAAATTCCACTGGGAAAGTCATGAAGGATCCATAAGGCAGGATCCCTGGAAAGGCAGGTCCAAGGAGTCCTCTGGAAGGGCCAGTGTTCCCTGGAGCTTGCTACTGCATCCCACTGAGCTTCACAGTGTGCTGCTGTGAGCCCCACCTTTCCTACCTGGGTCCACCATAGCTCCGAGTGTCCCACATCATGGCAGCTACTTTCAGTCCCAACACACAGGACCCTGGTCTAAAAGGAATCACATCTAAAGGAACAGTGCCTCACATCTCATCTCCGTTAGCCACAGGGCATCTCACAGTGAGTCCTCTGACTCCAGGAGAGACTCAACTCCCTTGCACTCTGCAGAATATTGTCCTTTTAGCTTCGTGACTGTCAAATATTTCTGCGTTGTAAGGATCTGTAAGAGGCATTACGCTCTGGCCCTGGGGCTCCGCTGCATTTTCTTCCCACAGAGACCACCATCAGCTCTGCTGTAGACTAAGCAGGAGTCTCTCACTCATATCCTAACATAGCTCTTCCTCAAAGCTGGCTTTTCTTATCAGAGCACCTAAAAAGGCTTTATACTTCTGGGTTTAGCTTCCTGGACATTCATCTGGAACTAAGAGCCCCATTTTCCAGAAGGCAGAGGATGCATGTTGCTTCTTCTCATCAGAGCAGACTGACTTCAGGTTCCTGCTGTCCCAGAGACAAAGTGAGTTTGAAAGATCCCTTTAAACTCAGTATCTACTGGGATGGCCTTCCTACATGAGGAAGGCGGACTCCAGGTCTATTTATGTCTATTTTTTTTCCCTCACGGTCTTATCCTACTCCCTACCTTCTTGTATGAATGCAAGCATGTTAGCCATAGAATTCCATGCCAGCAGGAAACATGCCAATAACAGTTACCAGTATATCTCCGTGCTTAGCACAGTGCCTGGCACAAAGACAACGATAAAAGTATTGACTGAAATTAGTGAATATTTGTGGAATGAACACATAAGCAATTGATTAAGTAAATCAGTGGGTTAAATGGAGGCATTGGGCACATTTATTTAGGTGCCAGTTTTAGACAGTTAATAATTCATCATATAAATAGATATGGCCAATATGGAAAATGTCCAAAGTGGAAAAAATAAAGCCTACGATCTTATTCAGTTACTTAATACGACACTTGCACATTGCAGATATTATTATGTTGAATGGACAAAAGAATGAGTGGCATTTTAGACAATGCCTCCGGACTAGGCTGTGGAATTAAATACATATAGGCTCAAACTCAAGCTCAACAATTATTAGCTTTGCAACTCAGGGAACATTAAATGCTCTCAATGTTAGATTCCTCATTCATGAAAAGACTACAATAATAATTACCACACATGGTTGTCGTGAGGATTACATTAGATAATAGATGTTGTCTGCCTAAGGAGTAGTTGATTTGAAAATAATAGTTTCTGGCTGGGTGCGGTGGCTCACACTGGTAATCTCAGTGCTTTTCTTGAGGCCAGGGGTTTGAGACCAGCCTGTGTAGCATAGCAAGATCCCTGTCTCTATATAACAAAAAATTTAGCCAGGCATGGCGGTGTGTGCCTGTAGTCCTAGTTACTCAGGAGGCTGGAGTGGGAATGGTGGTGTGTGCCTGTAGTCCTAGTTACTCAGGAGGCTGGAGTGGGAGGATCACTTGAGCCCAAAAGTTTGAGATTCCAGCCTGGGCGACAGAGATTTTCTCTTAAAAAAAAAAAATTCTTTCCATTTTCTTGCCCAAACTTTGCCTTTATGCTTGAATCTTACCCTGTTTACCAGACTGGATCTTGGCACCATCATCCATCCATCCATCCATCCATCCATCCACACATCCATCCATCCATCCATCCCTCCATGCATCCATCCATCCATCCACACATCCATCCATCCATGCATCCATTCATCCATCCACACATCCATCCATCCATGCATCCATTCATACCCATCTAGCTAGCCATCCCTTTTTTCATCTATTTTAATTCCCCTTTTACTTGCAAACTCTCTCTTAATTATTTCTTTATTGACTACATTTGTACCAAAGATTCTCTCCTCAAAAAGCCCTCTTTTAATTTAGGAAGATAAAAATATATTCTGGAATTCTGGACATAAATGGTGGTGATGCTTGCATAATATTGTGAATATACTTACTGCTATTGAATTATACACTTAAAATAGTTAAAATGGTTAATTATGTATATTTTACCTCAATAAAAACCTCCCAACATGCTTCCATATCACGTATCTTCATTGCTTCCTCCTCTCCTCTGTAGCCATGTGTCTTGCGTTATCTATACTTGTTTTATCTTTTTCTGAAATTTCCTTCAACTGTCTTTTCTCCCCAGGAATTCCACAGTGACTACCCTCATTAAGGCTATCTTACCTTTCTAATAATAAAATCGGGGGCTATTTATCAGTAATTACCTTGCCAGTCTCTGCACTTGGCCCTCTTCAGTGTGGCCTACTAACTGCAAATCTTTCCTTTCTATAATCCTGTCTCAAGTGGATCCTCTACTTTTTCCCTAGATCCTGTGTCTCGTCCACTCATGGACAGCTTCCAGTCCTCCAGTGTTGGCCTTTCCCTGCCATATTGCAGGTTATTCTCTCTAGAATGACTCATTCCTATCAGCATATAAACATAAGTCTTATTCTTTAGTATATTTAAAACGCTGTTTTACCATTTTGTCTTAGTGACGCCTCCTAATCCAAGAAGTCGCTCCGTCAAGTCAGTGATCCCTGTGGTGTGACTGAGTCCAGTGGTTAATTCTCATCTCCACACTGCAGGGATCAGCAGCTGCACAGAACACAGTCAACTGCCCTTTCCTTCCGGAGAGTTTTCCTCCCTTCGCTTCCCTGTTTTCCCTCTTCATTTTTCTCCCACTTTGTGCACTACCCAAACTCAGGTTTCTTCTGAGATTTAACACAAACCGTTTTCTCACAACCCACATCAATTCTTCCAGGAATCCTATTGACCCTGACATCAATGTGTTTCCATAATTGGCCACTTATTACCATTTCACTCCTACCATCCTATTCAAGCCAACATCACCCCTTACCTGGAGGACAAATAGGCTCCCAACCAGGCTCCCTTTCTTACTCTTGTTCTAACAAAGCTTCCTCTCAACCTACCATTCAGAGGACTGATATTAAACCTGTCAGATCGCCTCATGCCTGTGCTCAGAAGCTGCCTCTGGTTTCCTGTTTCTGTCAGTGTAGAAGCCACAGTTTCTAGTATGACTTGCAGAGCCCCGTGTGATCTGGCCTCTCCAGGGTCCTCCTGTCGGTCTTTCCATTGTTCGCTGAGGATTCTCACTTTGGCTCTGCCTTCAGCATGTGGAACATGCCCTTGTCTATTTCCATTAGATGTGTATATTGTATATATAATGTATTATCATATCGTGTCTATAATAAATAGGTAAAAATGTCTCTGGATGTTTATCCCACCATACTGATAGAAGATGAAGGCCTTGACTCTCTAAACCAAAATGAGACGTATTCAATTCCTAAACTGCTGAAGACCTTGGCAGGATTTTTCATTCAGATTTACTCTATTTCTACACTTTCCACCCAATATGCTTCACGCTAGTAATTTCATTTTTCCCCAAGCCACAACTCCTCTCCCTCGTTTCTGCTGATACTTCCCTTACAGTTGTCTGGAGCACTGTCCAAGCTGTGTGGCCCCCCACACTGACCTGTCTTCCACCACACTTTACTTCATCTTACATCACTCATCACCACTCTGCCCCAAGACATGTTCGGGTGCTCTCATTTCTAAAGTAGTGATTCAAACGTGCTTATTTTAGGGGAAGTGAAGATTTTCCTTGTGAAATTCTGTGATATTCAGACACATGTTATTCTGTTATTCATGCAAGAAATTTTGCTAAGAGAATATATTTTAAACATAAAGTAAAATATCTCAAAATAATATCTCATGTATATCCACTAATATTCACTTGCAACATTTTCATTTGTTTCATAATCCGGTAATGCTCACCAAACCAGCAAACAGCAACAGATGACAAAATTTGAAGAGGAATTTTTAAAAGCAATTATTTTCTAGTTGATGTACTTTATTAAATAAGGAAAGGTACATTACTTAATTTTAGAGTAAAGACAGCTCGTTCTGGCTTAGAGAATGCCTTCCTTCTCCTGGTTCACGAGATGCCACGCGTGGACCATAGCACAGAGGGCGGCACAGAGGCCCTGGAAGATTTACCGCAGGAAACTCAGTTTTCATTCCTTCCTCCTTCTCCTCCCTCTCTTAGTTCCTCCCTCACACCATCCTTCTTTTCCTTTTTTCTGTTTTTATGTCAATATTAAGTTTTAAGCAATGATTGTGCAGTTAGAAGCTGTGTTAGGAACAGGAGTGTGTTGGTGTGCAAACCCTCACACAAGTCCTAGAACTTTTATTTAGCTTGGAAACAAGATGTGAATCACACAATCACAAAAAATGTGGCAAACCCCAACCCCATGCTCTCGTGGTGTAGGACCACTTGTCACTTCCAGAATGTTCCATGAAATGTCTTGTTTCTCCTCCATTGCTCAGGTTTTCCTTACTTGGATTTTTACGACTCTCCCCTCACCTCTAGCTCAAGTTTTAGAGTCCCAGGAAATCGCCCTCTCTAGGAAGTGGCTGTGGCCATCTGTATCCTGGTGTAGCTGTCTCCTGCTTTTCTCAGTGAAGCTTGTCTGCCCCTGGATTTTATACCCAGCCGACACCCACAGTTCATGTCTACTGACTTAATAGGCAATGTTTATTAGGTAGCCAATGTTTATTTTGTTTTTGACTACTCACTGAACTCAACACTTTAGGTACTCAACACTGATGTCCTGATGTCCTTTTTGTGCTCTGGTGTCAGATCCAGGATCCTCCGTGTCATTTAGCATCGTGTCTCCTCAGGCTCCTCTCGACTGTGACAGTTTCCCAGATTCTCCTAGTTTTTGATGACTGAGACAGTTTTGGTAAGTACTGATCAGGTGGTTTTCAGAATGCCCCCTAATGTGTGTTTCCCTGATGTTTGTTTCATGGTTAGACTAGGGCTATTTGTTGCTGGGAGGAAGACCAGAGGAGTGGGTTTGCCATCCTGTCATCGTGGCAGAATATGCTGTCTCCATGCCTCGTCACCAGCGATACACACCTGTCATCTGGCGGGAGTGGAGGTGCCAGTCTTCTTCATTATAAACTCACTGCTTTTCCTTCTTTCCCTGTGTACCCTTTGGAAGGAAGTAACTAAGCTCAGCCCACTTCAAGGGGTAGGGAATTACTCTCAACTTCAATGAGGAGGGAGCACCTAACTACATTAATTGAGATTCTTATTTATAGGAAATTTGCACTCTCTTCTTCATTTATTCAGTTAATCAGAAATATGAACTCATGGGCAATATTTTTTAATTAAAGTTGACACAAACAGTTGTTAATAATCCAGGGAATACGATATTTGAAGCACCCAACATTGTAACTAAGTTTAGCTCATTTTCGATTATTGCATTATTTGGTCCTTCCAACAGTGTGCATGGGGGGTGTTGTATATGTGCACGTCTGTGTGTGCAGTATGCATGGTGTGTATATGGTGTATGAGTATGTGTCTGTTTTTGATACATGGTGTGCATGTACCTGTGGTGTGTGTGGTGGGCATGTGTGGGTATGTGTGTTCTGTGTGTGGTATTTGATGTATGTGTGGTATGTGTGTATAGACATATGATATGAAGGATGTGTGTTTGGTGTGTGAGATGTTTATGTTGTGTGTCCCATGTGGTGTTGTATGTGTGGTGTGTGTTTGTGTGTAGTGTACTGTGTGCAGGTGGTATGTGGCATGTGTGTTTGGTGTGTATTTATGTGTGTGCATGTATGCTGTGGGGTGTGTGATGTGTGTGTGGTGGACATGTATGTGAGTATATGTGTATTGTGTGGTGCATATGGCATATGATGCATGTATGTGTGGTGTGTATATATGTGTGTGTGTACACATATGGTGTGTGTGTCTATGTGTGTGGTGTGGTGTATTTTGTGTGTGTATGTGGTATGTGTGTATGGGTATGTGATGTCTCTGTATGTGTGTGTCCATGTATGAGTTCTGTGATGTGTATGTGTGGCATCTGTATATGTGTTGTGTGGTGTGTGAATGTGGTGTATGTGTAAGTGTGGTATGTAGTGTTTGTGTGTGGTGTGTGGTGTGGTATATATGTAGTGTGGGGTGTGGTGTGTGGGGTGTGGTGTGTGCGGTGTGTGTGGGGTGTGGTGTGTGGAGTGTGTGTGGTGTGTGGTGTATGTGTTGTGTCTGTGGTGTGTGGTGTGTGGGGTGTAGAGTGTGGCATGTGGTGTATGTGGTATGTGTAGCATGTGCAATGTGCAGTATGGTGTGTGGTGTGTGGAGGGTGTGTGGTGTGTGGTTTGTCTGTGGTGTGTGGTGTGTGGAGGGTGTTTGGTGTGTGGTGTGTGGAGAGTGTGTGGTGTGTGGTGTGGGTGGTGTGGGAGTTGCGTGGTGTGATGTCTTGGTTATGTGACAGTGACCCCTCCCTGTCTGGGTCTTCAGGGAAGGCTTCAGTAAGGGACTCACATTCGTGCCAGAGCTTGAAGGGCCTGGCACCCTCCCCACACACAATGCTATGCTCTCCTGCCTTTCTTGTGTCTCCCTTGCTCTTCCATGCTGCACACTGGGGTGTTGGACCAGTATCCAGAAAGCCCCCTTAGATCATCCTCCTAAATGGCCTTGGCATTTCCACTCTAGAAAGAGCCTTAGTTTTAGAACGAGACAGGTCTGAGTGTCAATGCCTCTGCCCCTCACTTGCTATCTGATCCTCAGAATTCTCCTGTGAAAATGAGGCCCATCCTTTCATGTGAGAATCAAGATGTGGCTGTTCATGGAACACACTAGGTACTCAATAGAGCTATCGGTGATCACATGTGAAGGTGTCATTGACCATTAGTAGCTAATTATTAATGGCTTTCTTAAAGAACATTTAAGCCTCTGGTACTGTTTCTAATTGGAAGTTCTCAGACCCCTAAAGAAGAGGCATGAGGCCGGGCGCGGTGGCTCACGCCTGTAATCCCAGCACTCTGCAAGGCTGATCACGAGGTCCGGAGATCGAGACCATCCTGGCTAACACTGTGAAAACCTGTCTCTACTAAAAAAAAAATACAAAAAATTAGCCGAGAGTGGTGGCAGGCACCTGTAGTCCCAGCTACTTGGGAGGCTGAGGCAGGAGAATGGCATGAACCTGGGAGGCAGAGCTTGCATTGAGCTGAGATTGTGCCACTGCATTCCAGCCTGGGCAATAGAGTGAGACTTCAGAAAAAAGGCATGAAGAAGACATTTTAGCCGAGAGTCTCAGTGACCTTCAGGTTATCCCTGAGAGCAATCTCTCCTGTCTATAAGCAAATCAGCCCTTCTTTTACTGAAATTCCTGGATATTAGCAAACTGTCAGTTTAGATATTTCCAAATTAGATATGAGACTAAGAAAAATGTTTACATTAAAGTGGATTTTTATTTTACAGCAAAATTACTTTCATAGTATTTATAGCTATAGCCCTAATGTGTGTGACCCTTCAAAATTCCTATGTTGAAACCCAGTCACCAATCTGATGGTGTTAGGAGGTGAGGCCTTGTTCAAGGTGATTAGGTCATTAAAGCAGCAGCCTTGTGATGCTTAATAGTAAGTGTCAATTTGACTGGATTGAAGGATCCAAAGTATTGTTTCTGGGTGTATCTGGGTGTTTCTGGGTGTTGTCAGAAGAGATTGACAGTAGAATGGGGTTGGGTGCGTTGGCTCACCCCTGTACTTTGGGAGGCTGAAGCAGGCAGATCTTGAGGTCAGGAAATTGAGAACAGCCTGGCATGGTGGCAGGTGCCTGTAATCCCAGCTTCTCGGGAGGCTGAGGCAGGAGAATCACTTGAACCAGGGAGTCGGAGGTTGCAGTGAGCCGATATCTCACCATTGCACTCCAGCCTGGCAACAGAGTGAGACTCCAAAAAAAAAAAAAAAAAAAAAAAAAAAAAAAAAACGTAGCATGGGATAGGAAAATCCCTCTCAGGAAGACCCACCACAGTGTGGGTGGGCACCATCCAATCAGCTGCCAGCACAGCTAGAAAAAGCAGGCAGAAGAAGGTGGAAGAAGCTGACTTACTGAACGTTCCCACCTTCATCTTCCTCCCGTGCTGGGTGATTCCTGCCCTCAAACATCAGACTCCGAGTTCTTTGGCTTATGGACTCTTGGACTTACACCAGTAGTTTGTCAGGGGCTCTCTGGCCTTCGGCCCCAGAGTGAAGGCTGCACTGTCGGCTTCCCTCCTTTTGAGGTTTTGGGACTTGGACTGGCTTCCTTGCTCCCCAGATTGCAGACAGCCTATTGTGGGACTTTGCCTTGTGATCGTGAGTCAATTCTCCTAATAAACTCCTTTTCATCTATCTATCTATCTATCTATCTATCTATCTATCTATCCTGTTAGTCCTGTTCCTCTAGAGAGCCCTGAATAATAAAGGCCCCCATAATGGGAGTAGTGTCCTCAGAAGAAGAGACAGGGGAGGTCTGCCCTGGCCCTAGCCAGGTGTAAGGACACAGCCAGAAAGCACTATCCAGGAACCTGGATCTGGCCCTTACTAGCCCCTGAATCAGCTGGTGCCTTGATCTTGTACTTCCAGACTCCAGAACTGTGAGCAATAAATTTCTCTTGTGTATAAGATCCCCCCGGCTTGAGGTGTTTTGTTATATTAGTTCTAATGGACCGAGCCATTGCAGACTTCAGGCCCCAACAGGCCTTCTTCAGCTTTGCAACCTGGGAGGAATGCCCCTTCCCCCGGGCAGGTCTCTATCCTGCTGCTCCTCTGACTCTGAGGAGGGACCGAAGTGGAGAGCTGGCCATCCCCATGGTGGCCTGGGGAGGGAGCCCAGAACAGGTATTTCTAGGAGGCCAGTGAATCCCTGAGCAGCCCGTCCTTTGTGGCGGCTTAATAGAGGATGACTTTGGGGGAGGGAAATCTTCACCTATACAAATTCCCATATTTAACTCTTTTCATTCTTGCTGGTGAAGAGATGGAAAGGAAATCCGGCTCTATGCATAGACTACCTAACCTAGCATTTCTGCTGGGAATCACGGTTGCCCAAGGAAACAGTGTTGATGATCCCCCCGCACTCTGAGCACCCTATCTGCTCTACTAGGGGCCCCAAATGCCAGTGATGCCATAAGTCACCAAATTTCTGTGACTTTTAATAGCCCTCTCTTTCCTCCCTGGAAATCAGTATGTTTGGGTTTCCAGTCTCGTACTAGGTCCGAGTCTCACGTGAGTGGTGCCCACAGAGTGAGCTACCTCCAACCCCAGCATTGGCTGATAAGGAAAGCCCACAATATACTATGTGTCTGTAACCAGAACCTCTTGCAGTCTCCTTTTAAAAATAAATAAATTCAACAACAACAAAAAAAGCCATCAAAAAAGGACAGGTGTTCAGAGCCCACATATTTTAGCAAATAAATAGCAGTTTTAAAATAAGGCATTACGTGCAAGCCAACATCATGTGGCTGCCCTTATGCCGAGAAGGCACATGGGTGGGTTTCTTTTCTTTTCTTTCTTCTTTTTTTTTTTGTAACTCAATACTTACATGTTGAAGACAATTTAGTTTTCTAAAGAGAAATTAAGGATTTCTACCTTCTTGGGTTCAACTAAATCTTCTCCACCTTGTGAGCCTTTAAATTTGTTATCCCTGAGGCTTAAACTAAATTACAGTGAAATAAAATACTCAGTCTCTATATATTGCCCTAAAGAATTTGCAGATCTCCTTATTTACATGTGATTATAAATTAGTACAAATAAATTTTCTAAAGATACACACTATTTCCAAAAGTATTTTTTTTTTAATGTTCATCTTTTTCTTAGGAGTAAGGGAGGCTGGCTGAAGCAGGCCAGAGCTAGGATGAGGAACAAGCACTATAGCCGGATGTGAAGTACAAAGACCTTGTCTAAGCTAATAGAATGTACTGAGGCGGGAACGGGGATGGCGGTGCAAGTGATCACTGGACAAGGAAGCTGTCATCTAAATCCAGAAAGAAAACCAACAAGCCAGCCGGGCGCAGTGGCTCATGCCTGTAATCCCAGCACTTTGGAAGGCCGAGGCAGGCGGACCACCTGATGTCGGGAGTTGGCGACCAGCCTGACCAACATGCAGAAACCCCGTCTCTACTAAAAACTACAAAATTAGCCGGACATGGTGGTGCATGCCTGTAGTCCCAGCTACTCAGGAGGCTGAGGCAGGAGAATCCCTCGAACCTGGGAGGCGAGGTTGCGGTGAGCTGAGATTGCGCCATTGCACTCCAGCCTGGGTAACGAGAGTGAAACTCCACCTCAAAAAAAAAAAAGAAAAAAAGAAAACCAACAAGCCTAAGAGAGATGCAGACAGGGGTAGAGTCAGATTTGGAGGCAGGCATTCAGAACCAGGGAGAAGAGTTTTCAAAACAACAGATTGAGATCAATAGGTGGAAACTTGTTTTCTAGCCTCACAAAATCAGCCTCTGAAGCTGGCACTGATGACTCATTAAGAGGAGGCAAACATGAAGTAGTGATGGAGCAGATGTGCTCATTCATTGTACTATTGCCAGCAACAGGGCTGCACGCCTTCCATACATGGCCTCTAATCCTGCTGCCATCCCCAAAGGACCTGTGTATGCTCCCTGTTTTATGGACGAACCCCTCTGACCCAGTAAGTCTAAGTAATTTTTCCATATTTACTACGAAACAAAGCTAGAATTCAACCACAGTTTTCTTTTCCCAGACCCATACTCTTTAGGAACAGCTGGAAATAAGCAAAGGTCTTTTGAGTCATGTTGACTGCAGGAATGTATATAATTTCCCAAGATGATCATTTTGAAAAAGAGGGTCTGCATTTGGATACACACATACACACATTCCATGAATTTGTTGAGCGAAAGATCTTGTTAATTTATGGGGACCCTTTCCAAATATCGTTCTGAAAAACAATCCAACACAACTGGCATTGACAAAATATTTTCAAGGGGCAAACAAAGGTTTAGTGAATAGCAATATGGAGCACTACACAGTGCTTCAAAGGTATGGCACAGCTAGAAGCCTCTGGGAACGTGCTCGATATTTCCAGGAACAGTGAGTTAATGGACAGAATTAGATCCTCGCCAAGGGGCAGGAGAGCACACGGCCATTTTAAAGGACAAAAGTGAAGTGTTTTTAAAGTTTTTCACACTTTGGCGTGGTTTTAAGGTAATATTTAGTTGCATGCAATAGAGAAGTTCATTTGCTAAAAAACCATGCGAATAGGTATCCAATTCTATTTGCCCTCACAGGTGTTGACAAACCCGGATCACTTCACAGAGACACAAAGAAGACCATTTTCATGTCATTCTTATGAATTTATACATGCCCAGAACCGAGGCATGTCGGGATCTGCGAGGAAAGGTGAATCACTCAAAAAGAAGATGTAGACAAAAACCCTCAGGAGGGAGCATACCTTTACAGTTCACTGCGTCTGAGGCAAAGGGGCGGTGGGATTTCAGAGAAAGAGGAGACCGAAGTGGAAAGGTCGGAAAAGCCTTCCTGCTTCTCTGAGCCCAGGCCTGGCAGAGGCCACTGCAGGGGGTTGCTGCTGACAGCGAACTGCAGCCTCATGAGAGGCCCTGAGCAGAACCATCTGGATTAACCTCTCCTGGATCTCCGCGTTGCCGAACTGTAGGAAATCATATGTATTTGTTTTCTAAAGTTGCTAATTTGGGAAGCAATTTTTAAACACAATAATAGGGTTCAATACGATCTCTGTGGTTTAATTAGACTGTGGGTTGTGGGGGGGCTGCAATTATAACAGCACAAAGATTTGCAGAAAGCTCTTATATTTATTTCAGGAAGATAGATGAGACTGGGGAGCACGTCTGAAAATACAGTGAGAGAGTCAAATTTTGGTACAATAAATCCTGAACACTAACTGAATGGGATTGGCTGTCTAGATGTGAGGTGAGAGAAAAAGAGGAGACTCACAGGTGCGTCCAAGGTTTGTCACCTGAGGCGCTTTGGGAGGGAGGGAAGGCTTTGGGTGTGAAGCTGTCCATGGGCCCATTTTTGGAAATAGTTTGCAATACCGATGAGACAGTTTCGTGGAGGTGCCTGGTAGAGAGCTGAACGTAGGGGCATGGAGATCAGGGCAGAGGCCAGGGTTTTCCTCTCATTTCCATACTTCCACTTCCATGGAAGTGGACATTTGGGAGCTCTAATTGTATGGGTGGCATTTAGACCCATGGGGCTGAATAAGCTTACCTGTGTGAATGAGGATGGACAGAGAAAATAATAGAGCTGAGGGCTAATTGGGATACACCAACAATTAAAGATTAGGAAGAAAGGAGTAAGAACTGGCTATGAGGAAGGAGGAGCATGGAGAGAGTGGTTTCACTGAATCTAGAATAAAAGAAATATTTCAAGGACCTGATAGTGATCAATTGCTGAAAGCTACTTACTCATCAACTACGATAAGGACTGAAATTTAACTTTAATTGGGCTGAGATTTTGAACCATAGAGATCCCTCTTAACTTTGATAAGAGCTGTTTTTTGTGAAATGGGATGTCTGATGAAAGGAAGGAGAGACAAGCAGAGAAAGGAGAGTCGACAAAACCAGGAGATAGTTTCCAGGAGCTGCAGCAAAGGGGAGCTAAGCCAGTGCCATAGTTGAGGAGGTCTGTGGGGTGGAGGGAAAGCTCATTTAGTGCTGAAAGAAAGCACACTGTGATGTATGTAGTACACAAAGGCATGCTGAAAGAACAAGTCACTAAATAGCTGAGAGGCGGTGGGATCCATTGCATAAATGAAGAGTTTGGCATTAAATAGCAGCTAGAACAACCTATCTATTTACCAGGAAAAGAGGCAGAGAAGAGGTGTGGGAGCACATAGAAGTCCTCTTGTGATTGAATGTAAATAAAAGAAGGGTTATCAACTGATAAGGAGGAGCTGGAGGGGATTCTGGGGCTGAAAACACTAGTGGAAGTTAGGAGGGTGGGAGAGTGACAGGGTAGATGATATGCTTTGGCTCTGTGTCCCCACCCAAAGTGCATCTCGAATTGTAATCCCCACATGTCCAAGGAGGGGCCTGTAATCCCCACGTGTGGAGGGAGGGAGGTGATTGGATCCTGGGGATGGTTTTCCCCATGCTGTTCTCGTCATACTTAATGAGTCCTCACGAGACCTGATGGTTTGATAAGTGTTTGGCAGGTCCTCTATTTTGCTCTCTCTCACCTGCCACCATGTAAGATGAGCCTGCTTCCCCCTCTGCCATGATTGTAAGTTTCCTGAGGCTTCCCCAGCCATGCAGAACTGTGAGTCAATTAAGCTTTTCTTCATTGTAAATTACCCAGTCTTGGGCATTTCTTTATAGCAGTGTAAAAACTACTAGTACGGTGGCCCAGTCTCAGCGGGTAACACAGGAGTAATCACTCATGTGGAATGTTGCTGAAGGTTAGTCTGCTACAGAGCTCCAAACACTGTCAGCTGTATGACTGCAGGCCAGGGTGGGGAAGGGAGGGAACGTAGATGTGAGGAGGATTAGGGACAGTGGAAAAATAGTAGGATCAGCGCATTTTGAGCTCTGGGGCTGGTGGATGGGGAACGGAGGTGAAGATGGTTTGTGTCAAGACACAATAGCAAATAAAATGGAAATAAAGGAGGCAGGGTTAATTGCCTATGTGAATTTTTTGTTCTGTAAATAGCTCCTGTCTTTTTTATTTCTTTCATTCCTAAATCGGGGCTACCGTGTGTGTTAGTCTCCATGGTGTGTTACATGCTATTTCTTTTACAGCTTTTTCTCTTTTATTTTCTGGCAAATATATGCTAGTTAGTTGTCCTTTACTTTGCTTATAATTTTAAAGAAATAACTTCTAAATATTTCATAATTAGATATCGATGACCCTTTTTGTGTATTTTGCTATCCTATTTGAGCTTTGCTTTTCCATGACAAGAATGTAGTAATATTCATTCCATTTATTCTGTATTTACTTTATGACTTCTCCTACATGAAAACTGGACTCTATCTAAAATGTGTGTGTGTGTACAAATTAGTACTAACTTATTTATTTTCTAACTCAATTTTGGTCCAACAATATTTATGACATGAGAAATTCTGACTTTTTCAAGTTTGTTTAGATAGACCTGTCATTAGCCCTTGCAGTAATGTGAAGCCTTGAACTCTCCAAAAATCAGAATATTTAGATTAGAACAGCTCTTTCAATACTAATAAGAATACGTGGAAATATTGCTCAATAATCTCATATGTTGAGTAACCTGTAATAAATGGAAACTCTAAGAATTCATAGCAAAATGAGAGTGACACTTTAAATCATCAGTTATTAAGGATAAACTTGCTTTCTAATACAAAAATAATTAAATCAAAATAGAAGCCATTCAGAGAACCACTTTTTCCTTCCTACTTCTGTCAAGCATGCTGTATAGACAGTGTAATTTATGTCAACATTTCATGGATCAAATAGACAGCAAGAATCATAGACTAAGAATCATAGCTACATTCCAGCTATATCCAATAGCTTATATGTGTCTCCCAAGTTCAAAGCACTTAATAAAATATTCAAGTCAACATTTGTTTGATTTTCACTTCTCATTCTAATTTTTAAAATAAAAATATTTAACTATAATAAAAGTTGGGAAAATCTGAACAAACTTAGTTTATAAAATAGTCACAGCAAATAATAAAATTGATTTTCCTAAACTAAAGTCAAAGAATGTTAGAAAAAGAAAGTGATGATAATGACCATGATGAAAACTAACATTTTGTAAGATCATAATTGTTTGCTAGACAATGCAAATAGTCAGAAAGTATCACCTTGTTTTGTTTCCACAGCAACCCTGCGAGGTATATGCTTTTATTATGTCACTTTAGGATAATTAAAACTCATCTCAGGAAAAAAAAACTGAAGGAAAAAGAAGTTAAGTTTTTTTCATGGCCTTAAAATAGAAATAGAATAACCAGGGCTTGACTGCCAGCATCCATGAGCTTAGAGCTCATAGTATAGCATCTTATCCTCAGGTCTGCAGATGAGATAAATAAGGCATTATAAGAACTCTGCTCGATATTACACATGCCACTTGAAGGATATGGAATTTGGTGGAAGTACACACACAAAATAGGCTTAGGTAACCTATATATAATTAAAACTACACCAAATATCTGGAAGTCCAATATATTTAAATAGTGATTTTCCTATTAATTTAGATTCTTATAATTGAGCAATCAATACTTTTAGGTTGAAATCTATAATATGTATATGAAGTTCACATTGTATTTTCAAAAATATTGGAGATATAGTATTTTTCTATCTCAAAATCCAAATCGAGTTTGTTTCTTGAGCTTTGTCTTCAAATTCCTTAATTAATTAGAGCAGACAACTGGTTTGCATGAATAAAAACTAAAAGCTCTAAGGAACCCCTCAGGAGAGTCAAATGGAACTTGGAGAATCACCCACAAGCAGTCTTTGAGGCAGAATACTGCTTAATTCTCATAGATGCTAAATTTTATAAACTGAAATGTTTTCGGAGCCAATTAAATGATATTATGTTCAGCATGGTCAATAAGACACTAAATAATCATCACAGGACTCTAATTCCTGGGCAACTCAAGAGCTGAAAATGTCAGAGATTTAGGATAGTTTCCTTATGTGAACCTAAATGTTTATCTCCTGAATCACTGATGCGAAAGAAACACATTTTCAACAACCAGTTAACTGGAGAGGAGAAAACTATATTTGAACAGGCTGAGGAAGAGGCATTCACTAAGAAGGACAAAGTCTTACGTTGATATTAAAGTCAACAAATTAACATCTTTTAATTTAAAAAAATACATGAAAGATCGTATATATTTGCTAAACATATAATTAAAGATCTAGTGCTAGAATGATGTGTCATCAAAGAAATAAAGTAAACAATCCCTTGATTCCAGGCTCTACTGTTAATTCCTATAAAACTTTCACCTACCCTTCCTTGACCACAGGGCTAACCTTCTCCTTGGAGTCTGAAACTGTCTCAGCTCATTCTCTGTAAGTCATCCGGGCCACAAGACATCTACTTTCCAGGGGCTTTCAAGGTTATCATCCACAAAATTAGTGCTATGGAAATGATTTTGATATCTTCATTCATTGCAGATTTAACTTCGTCAATCTGGACTTCGGCCACATTCTTAACAGTATTAATAAACTTATTAGTATTAATTATGTATCGGACAGTAACTCTTTTTATGGAATATCTAGAAAATGGGAACAGGCAGAGGCTTTGGACAAGTGTCCTGCCCTGGTAAAGCCAGGGAAATGCCTGTGAGTGTGATTGTCCTAATACTCAGGATCTCTCCTTGTACCCCTGGATTTTTGAGCCAAATGTTTATGGTTGTCTTTCTTCATGTAAAATGAATAATTTCACAGCAGGTCGTAGCTTATTCGTGTAAATATGTGTCTGTGTAGTGGGTTATTCACAAAATATGCGATACACACTGGCTGTCCACATATGCCCTAACTGAGCCACTCATGCATTTCATCTGGGAAGTCCTCAGCCCTAAAATGCATCTTCAGCCAGGCAAATGCCCTGGCTTTACCAGGGTAGGACATTTGTCCAAAGTTAGTTGTAAGAGGCAAGAATTATTTAATTATTTACTTATTTTCTAGTTTATTTTATTTTTTATTTCGGCAAGAAAATTTAATATTAATTCTCTCTCTTAACATATTTTTAAATGTGCAATATCATCATGTTATCTATAGGCTCAATGTGGTACATCACATCTCTAGAACTTATTCATGTTGCATAATTAAAATTTTACGCATGTTGACGAGAAACCTCCCTATTTCTTGGAAACCCCACCTGGGTCCTTGGCACCCACAGTTCTCTTCTTTGCTTAAGAGGCCAAGCTTCAATTCACCTCAGTCAGACTGATCTTCCTACTGGACCCTTAAACATTGTTCCAAGCAGTATGCTGCTCATGGTCTTTAGCTTTTCTACAAAATGTATAAGAAAAACGAAACTGCATTTGTAAAGTTAGAGAAGGTGAGCTTTAGGACTGAGGACTGCCTGGATAAAACGTGTTAGTGGTTCATTTAGGGCATATGTGGACAGCAAGTGTGAATCGCATATTTTGTGAATAACCCACTACACAGCCACATATTTACACGAATAACCTAGCAAGAAAAGAGAAAACCACAAACATTTGGCTCAAAAATCCAGAAGTACAGAGACGGATCCTGAGTACTAGGACAATGCCACTCACACTAAGATTTCCTTTGTTCTGGACTCCATGATCAATAGCTGTGTTCTCATGCAAGAGGTCTTCAACGAAGAGCAAGTCCAAGAGAAAGCTGTTGAGCTCCTTAGTGCACAATATCTGGGACATGGGACACCTGGCTGGCTTTGTTACCTGTGAAGCAAGAGGAGCAGTGGTAGACGACGTGGGGAGTGGGAAGGAGAGGGGGAGGCCAGAAGGGACAGTGCGGTACAAACGGGAGGTCTCCCGCTCACGTTCGCCCTGCAGGGGAAGAGGAAGGGATAGGGCAGGGCCACTGACAAAATTCTTCCTTGGGCGGGGGACGCCCGGTTTTTTGCAGGAGGTCAGTACCTCTCACTGAGGGGCCTGACAGAACACATCTCCTTGGTGGCCTTGGCAAATAGCCCCACAGCAGCGGGTCAGGGAAGAGGATGCAAGACAGTTTGATACCGTAATAAGGCCCAAAGTTCCTATGAATGCTGCCTCCTGACAGCCTCAGGGGCATCTGGAGCTTGTGCTGGAGGAAGTTGAAGAGACCTGGAGTCCCTGAAGAACAGAGATAAAGCCAAAACACACACGTGAGCACGCGCACACACATGCGCACACAAAGTAATTCTGTTTCTCTACTTTATGTTCTGGAAAATAATGTTGGAATTTCTTTCAGAGGCGGTGAAGAAAATAAATACATGTGGAATTAGATACTAGGGAGACGTTCGCTTGTAATTGGGTAAAACTACTTTTTTCACTTACTTGTAAAATTTTACTTCTTTGGTCATAATAAATTTTGATGAAAAAAGGAATTTCATAATCAGTAAAAAGATTAAAAAGAAGCAATGTGTCTATATTGTCATATATTATTCATGGACTACAATGCTTATCTTCAAAATATGAAATTCTTTGAGAGAGAAAACATGAGACTTTGGTGTCACCACATTGAACCTGTAAATTCCTCCACATGCTCAACTCTCTCACCGTCCACCAAAATTCCACCTTTAATTAAAGTGAGTTTTGTGGATGATCCATGTCCTTTTCATCACTGAGCTTTAAAAATCTTATTTTACATTTCACACTGCCCATTGAAGTCTATATATTAATAGCACCACAAAAGTTCTGCTGGCAGGGCCTGTTAGATTTTCTAGTAACCCTTTGAACCTGAGCTAGTTTTCTTTCATAATCTACTAAATCCTCAAACTTTAAGAAATGACTTTTCTTTCTCTAAGCTTTCTCTTTTCTTTGACTATCTTGTTACAATTATATGCTACAAAGAAACTAGAGATCTGATTTTCTTCTCATACAGTTTAGAAAAAGCCAAACCAGTTTTAGAAACACGGAGATAAAACCTTTATATGATCTGTAGAAGTATGCACAAATCTCCCATAGAATAGGATGGGGAAGGAGGTGACCCCCTGCTCTTTATTAACATGCTTTCTTTCTTAAAGGTCTGAAACAATTTGCAAAGCAGCTGTTAACGGAACATATTTTGGAAGAACTCAAACTGACCGACAGTATTTATTAAATGTTTCTCAACGTGCGTTTTATTGAGATTTTGGCATCGTTGTTGATTTGCATTTCCTTTTAAATATTTCTTTATAGTAAAATGTGACTAGCAAGTGAATATGTACACACCGCAAAACCTTGGTTGCTTTAAAGTCGTTCTGTCCAGTACCCTTATTGCTAGGAAAACAGAAACTGACACAAATATATATTTTTTATAAGAAAAAAGGGGAATACATACCTCTAATTACCAAATAAGCTTTAACCAATAGTTTTTATCAAACCCACTTTTCTGATTAACCAGCACAGAGCACTTTACAAGAAACAAAATTGAGGAGAACTGGCAGAACCAGAAGAGAAAGTCATGTGCAGTAGAAGACAACATGGAGACTTCAACATCAGAGGAAGCCCCAGAAAAACTAGAAAACAAAAACTATCTATAGGTGTCAGAGCCTGCAGACAACCATAAATGCTGGTATGGTAAGGTACTCAAGGGAAGAAAATGCATGAGAAAGACAATGAAATTTTGAGCAAGAAAGACACAGCTTTAAATCCTAATTCTACTTCTTGGTTTTATAACTGAATCTTGTTACCAAAATTCTCCAAGTCCCACTTTGTTCGATACTTATATCTGAATGAGAGGACCCGGTTTACTAAGTCTCAAGGATTTCCTGACATAAGCAGGTGCAAAGTGAGTGCTATAATAGATGCTCAATCTACGGTAATATTTTCTGTTTTATTTTCTTCACTGTTATTATTATGCTCAGTAGTATTTTCCCAAGAACTCAAGGGAGTGACCTACGGAAAATTTCCTTGCAGATATTAAAAATTAAATGCTTGTGCTTGAAATAGTAAGGTTCAATGATCTGAAAAACTCACTTATCTGATAGATAACATTCTCCTGAGCTTTTGAACAAATGATGTGTGAATGCACATAATTGTGTTCTTATAGAACTTGTTCATGTATATACAATATAAATTGTAAAATATGCATATATATCAGCAAAAGATAATATACTATTCAAGTGTATTCATATTAATTTAATAGTCTTGATGAATTTAAATATTCTCAAATATATATGACTTTTCTCCAATGCATAAACAATTGTAAATAAATTACAAAAACTAAAAGCAGGTAAAATTAGAATGTGTATATGTGTCTGTACATAAATAAAAATGTGGATACACAGGCCAGGCGTGGTGGCTCACGCCTGTAATCCCAGCACTTTGGGAGGCCAAGGCGGACAGATCACGAGGTCAGGAGATCGAGACCATCCTGGCTAACACAGTGAAACCCCCTCTCTACTAAAAATACAAAAAGAATTAGCCAGGCGTGGTGGTGGGTGCCTGTAGTCTCAGCTACTTGGGAGGCTGAGGCAGAGGAATGGCATGAACCTGGCAGGCGGAGGTTGCAATGAGCCAAGATCGTGCCACTGCACTCCAGCCTGGGTGACAGAGGGACACTCGGTCTCAAAAAAAAATTTGTCTACACAAATATATAGTGGGTGTTTAATACATATTTATTCTATAGCTTACAATGCAGTTGTATAATATTTTCCTCCAAAATATTTCCAAAATTATGTCAAACCTTGTGTGCTGATAAATACGAATTATGGGATAGAAATTTTTCACATTGCATAATTAATTGTGTTAACTTGCTTGAGCAGATCTTTGTAACCATAGGAAATGTAGAGTATTCATTTTCCTCACAGGAAAATGTGCACAGACACTCACAATCATCAGGTCCACATGCACACCAGGCTAAGAGCATATAAGCAAATCAAAGGGAACCAAAGGGAATCATGAGGGATTTTTGCAGCTGGAGTTGCAGGTCTTTCTTTCTTTCCTTTTTTTTTTTAATTTATTTTGGACAGAGTCTGTCTCTATCCGCTGCAACCTCCATCTCCTGGGTTCAAGTGATTCTCCTGCCTCAGCCTCCTAAGTAGCTGGGATTACAGGCACCTGCCACCTCACCCAGCTAATTTTTGTATTTTAAGTAGAGACAGGGTTTCACCATGTTGGCCAGGCTGGTCTGGAACTCCTGACCTCAAGTGATCTGACCACCTCAGCTTCCCAAAGTGCTGGGATTCCAGGCGTGAGCCACCGCGCCCGGCCAGGAGTCACAGGTGTAAGACAGCCTGTACGTGGGGCAGCTCTTCCTGTCTTGTCACTGTCCAGTGACCTTTTGGGCATAGGTGCCCCTTTTGGTTGACTTGTTAATTATTAACCTTAGCAAAGAAAGCATGAGTAGGGTACAACTTTAGAAGACTGTTATGAAGCCCTGAGTGTGAGAGTGAAAATCTGGAGCCTTAAATCAATACCATCTTTTAATTTGTAAATAGATTTGAGGCCCACCTGTTTTGTCCTAAACCCCCAAATCTGAGTTTTTTTTTTTTTTTTTTTTTTTAATAAACAGGTAACTTGGGTAGGTAGACAAGGTTATAGTCTGCTGCACAAGAAAAGATATAAGTCAATAAAGATCGAGGGTTGTTAAATCTCCGCTGCAAATAACTACTCCACTTTTGTAAAGAGATGTATGTTAGACGGATATGCCATGTCAGGAAAGGTCAGAAAACAATGGTGTCTATCTACTTCCTTTTTAACTTCTGTTACTTGACCTTAAAAATGTGGAAATGTTCCTGGGGCGTCCTAAGTGTGTTTCTCCAATTTCCTCCAAAGAATGTGAGTTTCTGGGGAGTAAAAACCGTCCTTTCTTCTTAGACCTTCACCTGAGAACCAAGTGTCCTCTCAGCACAGAGCTTCCTTCATATTTCAAGGGGCACTGAAACCAGGCAAGCTTGAGCTTCAGAACAGGCACGCAGAGGCCTGGAGAGAAGAAGCAGTGAAAGACTCATTTGTGTTCAGTGTTGTGATCTCTTCAAGTAAAATTCAAATTGGCTCCAAGGAAAAAAAAAATCTCATTTTCAGTTGCAGCCTGCTCTGAATCAAAGTCACGCTAATTAATCCTGAAAGCTCACTCCGTGCCAGCCCTGGATGTAAAGGCTTTACATTTCCAACCTTGATAAAGTCCACAGCAGGAATGTCAGACAAGTAAAAGTGCTCTCCCACAGGGAGTTCCCCCACAGGGAAACTGAGGCACAGTGAAACTCCATAACTTGCTTGCCCAGGTGTCTGAGCAGAGAGGAAGCCATGGGGTCCAGCTCCAGAGCGCACCTTCCTTTCCTGACAGCAGTGACAGGGCTCAAGTTGGTTTAGCTCATCCAGATTTATGTATATGGAGCCCCTTCTAACTCTCCAGGATCCCAGCCATCCCTCTTCATGAGCCTTTGAGGGAAGCAAGACAAGCGTTACTGTCTCCTTTCTACAGGTAAGAAAACCGAAGCTCAGGGGAATGACAGGACTTGGCCCGGGAATATGGGCACCAAATAGCAGCCTCAGCCCAAAATCTAATTCTCTGGGCTTCACATCCCAAACTATGACATTTTCCAAATGATTATTGGAAAATAGGTATTTGCCTTTTGCCTTGCACTGTTTTGCTGTCCACTTTCTGGAGTTTTCTCATCATGGGCAGTGAGCAGGGCCTGAGTCCTTTGAAGCCTCAGGAGACGCGAGGCTACTCCTGCAGGTCTGGCGATGTGAATATGAGCAGCCCTCAGGAGCCAGAGATGCTCCAGGCTGAGAAGCAATGGCCTTACCAGTACTACCGAGCAGATGTCACACCCATGAAAACAAAACAATCACTTGTTAAGTAGGCACATAGCTACCCGAATAGCAGGTATCAGAGTGTAGAGGGACGGCCAAAGGACTCTCTTTGTCATCTACAGTGTCAGTTATTTCTTTATATCTTTCACTTTAAAATAAGCATGGTTTCATTTGACAATACTTGGCCAATTATGCATTCTTTTGAATTTAAAATTATCTCAAAAAAACAGGTCTGTGTGCCTGTGTTTGTGTACTGCAAGTATTATGGGTGTGTAAATACATATACATATAAATGCATGTATATGTATTTTATGGGTATATAGATATTGTACATATATGTATATATGTAATTTAAACTTGAGCAAATCAGTCAAATGTGACTTGAGAAATTCTCCTTTGTAAAATTACTAATTTAGTTTTTATCAATAAATATGTAAAGAACAATAATTGTATGCAATACCATACTTGGTATAATTACATGAATAAGATGGAAAGTATAGCTGTGAATTGTGAATTCAGGGCACAATAGTATAATAGAGATGCTAATGTTACTGAAAATACATCCTTACAAACTCATTTATTGCTAACAATTAATGAGTTATGTATTCATATTTACCTGTGACATTTGGAATGGGCTCAGATAATTTAAAAACAAACAAAAAAGCGTTCTGCTAGCCTCCTCCCCTGCTGCCACTTTCTCCTGGGTGCTTATATGCACCCAGTCCATATCCAACCCAGGCTTTTCTCACATGTGGTTCCGGATCCATATAAAACCTGAAGGACATCCACATTTCTACCAGCATCGCACCCCAAAGTGAGTCGACAAAAACCCACTGAGACTCAATTTTTTATTGCATTGGCTTCCCAGTCCCAATAATATCTATCTATCTATCTGTCTGTCTATCTATCTATATATACATATATATATATATATATATATATATATATATATATATATATATATATATGTATGTATTTGAGATGGAGTTTCTTTCTTGTTTCCCAGGCTGGAGTGCAGTGGTGCAGTCTCGGGTCACTGCAACCTTCACCTCCCCGGTTCAAGTTATTCTCCTGCCTCAGCCTCCCAAGTAGCTGGGATTACAGGAGCCCGCTACCGTGCCTGGTTAATTTTTTTGTATTTTTAGTAGAGATGAGGTTTCACCATGTTGGCCAGGAAGGTCTTGAACTCCTGACCTCCGGTGATCCGCCTGCCTCAGCCTTCCAAAATGCTGGGGTAACAGGCGTGAGCCACCATGCCCAGCCCCTAGTCCCAATAACTAAATACGTATTTTGGTGACTTTTATTCTTTTTGCTTCAAGCAATCCCTCTCCCAGATTCTGTGAACATCAGCCTCACAGCTCAGAATGTCCAAACTAAACCCATTATCCTTTCTCCCCACCTTTTTCTTTCCACATGTATCAGTCCAGTCTCTGACACAGCAATCTAGGTTTCTCACAGGACTCCTTCCTTCTCTTCTTCAGCTACTCATTCATCGAGTATTCGTGCAAAACCCTATTCACAACTTTCTCCCCTTGAACCTGTCGCTGGTCAAACTTGGAATTTCACAATCTCTAGTTTGCACTTTTAAATTTTATCCTGTTTGGTTTGTGTATTTCTTCTTTTACATTTTTCATCTCTTGTCTATACTAACACCAGAAAAGCTTTATAAAGCACACATTGAGTCATGGTATCTCCCACTTCAAACCTTTCAGCCCTGTCCCCTGATTTAGAAGGTGAAGTGCACAGATGTTTTAGTGGGAACAGACCATGCATGACACGCTCCATCCCATCTCTCCAGCAACATCTTTAAGTACCCCCACTCCTGCCACCATCATAAGCAACATCTCTGTCATCATGATTTATGCATCTCTGTGCGGGGCAATTATGTGTTTCCCTCTATAAATTAACGTTCTATGATCTTACTAAGGGCAAACTTCATTTATTTGATCTTTGAACCTCCAGCGTGCATCATGATGCCTAGTTTAATAAAGAGTGTTTTTTAAATGAGGAAATAAAGTGATTACAGAAAAGAATGAAATGTGTTTCCTTAAGAAGCCTATTCCTTGTGATCAATAGTAAGAATTTAAAGATTATTAAGAGATAACATTTATTCTTAAGGTAATGAAGCTTAGTGCCAAAGAACAGGATTTTTCAGCCTCATCATTATTGCCAATATAGACCTGAGAATTTTTTTGTTGGTCCTGTGCATTGCAGGACGTTTATCAGCACCCCTGGCCTCTACCCACTAGATGCCAGTAGCACCCTATTCTCCCAGCTGTGACAGCCAAAAATGTCTCCAGGCATTGCCAGATGTCCTCTGAGGTATAAGATCAACCCCATTTGAAAACCATTGCAACAGAAGAACCAAACACCCGTGGGTTTCCGTGTCACTAACTGAATAGTAATAATAAGAATAACTCATATTGATCTTGCAAAGAGGGGCATGTGCTGTGTTGAGACGTTTTCATTACTGTTTTAATTATTTTTCTCAGGGTAATATTTACAGCAGCTCCAGAAGTTAGTTTTTGATTATCAGTTTTACAAATGAGAAAACAAACGTTCAGTGAAGTTCAGTAAAGATTACGTATCTGTTAAGAGGTGGAAAACAGCTTGGCCTCAGACGATATTCCTCTAGTCTTAGGCTGTGCCCTTAGCCATAAAGCTTCGCTTAACCTTGATGCCTTTTAAATAAGGAAGATTCTATTAAATATACCTGCATTCAATACAATTTAAGACAAAGAATAAGAAATATCAGTAAGAATTGATCACTACTCAGTCCATCAATATCTAAATGTATAGTCCTGTGTTTATAGATAAGCCCCTTCTGAAAATTAATAGTGTGTAAATATTTTGCTTTATTTCTTTTTCTTAAGCCTCAGAGAATATTAAAATTCTCAGTATCTCAAATAATATCTTTATTTGTAAAGTTATAAAATTGCACTGCGGAATTTCAATCTCTATACTTCTGTTCATTTCAAATATAGCCTCAGCCTTAAGACTATAAAGCCATTTTAAAATAAGAAATTTGTGGCTGAAGTTATAGATGCTAGGGGATTAAAAGATGAGTACATTGCTCAGTGAAAGAGTAGACAACAATATTAGGGCTTAATATACAACATTAGGAATAGATATTAGTTTTATTTTTCTTTTTACTAAGACTTTACCAACATTCCTGTGTGGGCGTTTATAGCAGAAATTAGAAATCAGAGCAGTGAGATTCTGGAGTAATTAGACACTCATCTTAGAGTATTTCTGCATTTTATTCTTTTCTGTAATCATTTATTTCCTCATTTTAAAAAAACACTATTATACCAGATATTTTGCTGTATCTTTTAAAATCAACATATCAAAAATGTTTGTGACTGACTGACCATAATTTTATTAGCCGAAGAAAATGTGATACTCTAAATATGTTTTCCTTAAAGAGCTTATATTTGCCAGAACCCGTGCTTGTAACAATTGTACAAGTTGAAATATAATTTAGAGCAAAATTAATAGTGATAATTACCCGTGTTCCTCTTCAAAAGCTCAATACTTCATAAACACATATCTGAACATTAATTATCCAAATATCTTAATCTGAGAGTAATAGGCCTTTTGATTCATGTTTGGAATATTAACAAATAGAATAATATTAAAATTCTCAATACATCAGTCAATTAAATTATGATAAAGTATCCTGTTGCCTCTTAAATAAAGAAGATTCTATTAAATACACCTGCATTCAATACGATGTAATACAAAGAATAAGAAATAGCAGTAAGAATTGATCAATACTCAGTCCATCAATATCTGATTGTATAGTCCTGTGCTTATACATAAGCTCCTTCTGAAAATTTATAGTGTTAAGTGTGAATATTTTGCTTTGTTTTTTCTTAAGCTTCAGATTTGGATCTGTATTTGGAAGAGTACAGGTTTCTAAAAATAAAATTTGATACAATTAAACAAAGCTGTGTCAATCCCTTCCAAACTCAGTTGCCTGGCATATGAAACCCTAAATGATACATCTCTTTCTAGTTCTTGTTATTGTCACCAGAAAAAGTCACAAAATCTGTACATTTAGAAAAGAGAGCTTTAATTCTAAAGTCGGGTAGAGCAACCTGCAGGCAAGAAGCATAGCTCGTGGCTGAAAATGAGAAGCAGGTGTTTTGAGGGAGGAAAGGATAAGACAGGAATTTGTGCTGCATGGGTTGGCTAAGTATACATATTCAACAGGTTATAGGAGGAGCTATGAATAGCCACAAATGTGCTGCACACATGCATACTAAGCTAACATGTATCTTACGTACGTCTACGTTCACTTTGGGGTGGAGACATAACATTTCCTTATATTTCAGTTAGGCTGTTATACATCGAAAGGTGAAGCAGAGGGCACGAAGACACTCAATGCACAGCCTCCGTAAACTGAACAGATACACTTCATGGTCCTGTTCTCTTACAAGGAAGGAATGTTGCTTAGCTGCAATGTTGAAGCTGCAAAAAGGAAAGGGCAACATCAGGTCATGGGTTGAAATCAGCCGTGGAGCAAGCCTGTAGTCCCAGCTACTCGACAGGCTGAAGCAGGAGAATTGCTTGAACCTAGGAGGTGGAGGTTGCAATGAGCCGAGATCGTGCCCCTGTACTCCAGCTGGGGCGACAGAGCAAGAGACTCCATCTCAAAAACAACACCACCACCACCACCACACACAAAAAAACATTTAGTCAGCTCCTGGCACACAGTTGATCCTCAAATCTTAGAAGAATGCATTTAGTAGAGAGATGGAAATAACCCATTTTGTAGTTTTATCTCCCTGTCTTATAACTAAATCCTTTACATTTTCAGGCAAGATGATTGTCATAAAACGTACCTTCTTAAAAGACAGCTTGGGATTTAGCAAAGCCACCATTTACAATTATTTCTGAATGTACATTAAACTAATGCCACTGACATGAAAAATGGTTTTCAAGTTATTACTTAATGTTTTATTGACACAACTATTTTTATTTTTTTATTTTTATTTTTTATTTTTAAATAAATTTTTAATAAAAACTTCTTGCTGCAAAGCACAGGGAAATGATAAAGCACTTAGAAAAGAATAAGACATTCCCATCACAGTTCTCATATGTAAAGAGATTGGAAGTCAGTACTCTCATCCTTACAATAATAAAGAAAAATGCTGAACAAACTGAAAAATCAACTTTTTTTGTATTCTTCAGAGAATTGAGGTTGCAAATCACCATCCTGAACTCTCAAAAGAAAAGTAAATACAGAGAATCACAGCTGAGATTAATTTACCTGGAGCAGAAGTTGTTGGAGCCATAAACTAGTAAAAACTCTAACTGGTTATTTTAATGAATTGCTGGAGGCTACGTGTGTCAAAGCAGGAGGCTGAGATATGACAGCAGGGGGAGTTGCGGTTTTAGGGGATCCCTCACTTTGCATGGGTTTTACCTACAGGCACTGCACCGTTTTCTCTTCAGAAAGGTCCTACGAAGAAGAGCCTGCTCCTCTCTAGGGGGAAGAGCACCATCTGTGAAGTACAGAGTATTCTACATGACAAAGGCCAACTACCCAAACAAAAACTATCCCAGAGCCTTGGTCCAGTCAGGGAAGGGCATTTCTTCACTCCAGATCTCTTTGGGCTCACTGTTTTGCCAAACACGGGGAAATGAAAACTAAGAAACACTTGTGAAGGTCACAGTCCAAGGACTCAGGTGCACTAAAAGCTTGAGATTTACTCATAAGATTAGTGATTCTATGATTATAGAACATTTCCCCTTCCTGGAACCTTACCATGGCAGCAACAGGGCTCCAGTATGATAACAGTGGATTACAGTTCAAAGAACTAAAAGTCACAGACTGTTTAAGGAGGAGGTCTTAGGGGAAGCTCAGTTTCAACAAAAGAGATGAAAACAAGGGCACTAAAGGAATTTGGGCCCTCTGGCACCTACAGATACAACAAACATTAAATACAGCCTTACTCCTAGCCAGATTAACATAAAACCTCACACTAAAAACCTATTTAGCCGAACATTTTGATTCCTGCCTGTAATTCCAACTACGAGAGAGGCTGAGGCAAGAGGATTGTTTGAGGCCAGGAGTTCAAGACCAGCCTGGGCAACACAGGGAGATCTTCATCTCTTAAAAAAAAAATTAAAATAAGTACGTAAATAAAAGGGTGTTTACCTCAGTTTCTATTACTACCTGATATATCACATCTGCCTTTGAACAACAATCACAACAAAATACAAGGCCTGGTAAAATGCAAGAAAAAACAGTCTGAAAAGACAAAGCAAGCTACAAAAGTTGACTGAGATTTTCAAATTGTCACACGGAATTTAAAGTAACTCATGTACTAAGGATTCTAATTTAAAAAGTGGACAACATAGAAGAAGAAATGGGTGATATAAGCAGATAAACGGAAATTCTAAGAAAGAATAAAAAAACATTTATTTAGAAATAAAAACATCGTAACTAAAAGGAAGAACAGCACCGATAGGGTCCTCAGTAAACTGGATTCATCTCAGGGAAAAAAATCTGATACTGAAGAGCTTGAAGATAAGTCAATAGAAACTTCCCAAACTAAAATGTAAAGAAAAGAAAACTTAAGAAATATAATATTTCTCCTGACTTGCTCTTTCTAGATTTATTGAACGTTATAGATGATTCTTTTTCATGTACTCCCTTAGCAACAGAAGCAGAGGCAATACTTCTTAACTCCCTCTGTAAAAGGAGCATTACCTTAATACCAAAACCAAACAAAAACATTACAAGAAAGGTCAACTACAGGCCAATATATTCCATGAGATTATATGCAAAATGCCCTCAAAATATATTGGCAAATTGAAACTAAAAATGTGTAAAAAGTAATGTATACCTTGCTCAAGTGGCATGTATACTAGGTATGCAAAGCTAATTTAATATTCAAAAATCAATTCATGTAATCTAGCATATTAACAGACCAAACAAAAAATATGTAATTATATAAATTAATGCAAAAATTCAGGAAAAGCATTTGATATAATGCTACACTCATCTACATTAAATTTTTTTCAGAAAAATAGGTATAAAGCAAGCTTAAATTCTTGAAGAATATCTACAAAAAGCCTATAACTAACATACTTAATGGTGACAAGTTGAGTACTTTACCCCTAAGATCAGGTACAAGTCAAAAATGTTCATGTTGCCTCCTCTCATCATTCCCACTCAACATTGAATTGGAAGTCCTAGAGATAAAGGAAATAAAAGATACATAGACCGGTAATACATAAATAAAATTCTGTATATTCACAACTGACATGACTGTCATGTAGAAATCCCAAATAATTGAAATATAAACTCCTGGAATTAATAAGTGATTCTAGCAAGGGTGTAAGACACTAGGTTAATATAGGGTTTATCACTTTTCAACATATGAAAAATTAGCAATGGGAATGTGAAATTAAGTACAGATTATATATGTAAAAAACCAAAAAAAAAATCAAACATGAATAAAAGGAGACATATTCTGTGTTTATGGATTGAAAAACTCAATATTGTTTAAAAGTCCATTTTTACCATCCTGATTTTTAGATTCAACGTAATTGCAATTAAAATTCCAGCAAGCTATTTTGTAGATATTTACAAATTGAGTCTAAAGCTTATGTGATAAAACAAAAGACCCAAAATACCTAAAAACATTCAAGAAGAACAAAGTTGAAAGAATGATACAACCTGATGTCAAGACATGACACTACAGTAATCAAGACAGCATGGTGTTGGAAAGCAAACAAACAAAAACATAGATTGATAGAAAATAATAGAGTGTGGAAATAGAATGACATAAATATAGTTACTAATCTTTGGCAAATAACAATGGCAATTTAATAAAGAAAGGGTTGTCTTTTAAATAAACAGTGTGGAAACAACTAAATGTCTATATCAAATCATCATCATCATAATTATCTGCCTAAATGTACAATACAAAACTGCAAAATGTCTAGAGAAAAACATAGGAGAAAAATCTATGTTACACTGAGTCGGTGATTTTTTTAAGATACAAATCCAGAAGAGTAATTCATAAAAGGGAAAAAACTAAATGAGTGTATTTTAAAATTAAAAATAATTTTAATTTCTTGTCTATGAAAGACACTGTGAAGAGAATCAAAAGATAAGACATAGGCTGAGACAAAATGTTTCCAAAACACATATCTGATAAAGGATTATATCTAAAAAATATGAAGAACACTTAAAACAAGAATAATAAAATAAAAAATCTTTTAAATATGTTCAAAATATATGAACCAACATATCACTAAGGAAGATATAAAGATAGCAAATAAACATTTAAAAAGATGTTCAACATCATCTGACATTATGAAATTAAAAATTAAAATAACAATGTCATCTAATAGGCTTTTAGTCATACCACTACAAACCTGTTAGAATGTCTAAAATTCAAAATACTGACTATGCTGGTTGTTGGAGAATATGCAGAGAAACAGGAACTCTCACTCATTGCTGATTGAAATGGTAAATGTTACAGCTGCTTTAGTAGACAGTTTGGAAATTTTTAACAAAGCTAAACATAGTTTTAACATATGATACAGCAATCACATTTCTAGGTATTTATCCAAATTGATTTGAAACTTTGTGCCAACGAAATGCCTGTACCTGAATATTTATAGTAGCTTTATTTATAATCACAAAACACTGAAAGCAACCAAGATGTCCTTCAATAGGTGAATGGGTAAACAAACTATGGCAAATCTATATGCTGAATATTATCTAGCAATGGAAAAATTGAGCCATCAAGCAAAAGAAAAAACATAAGTGAGCCTTAAGTGTGTATTGTTAAGGGAAAAAAGCTAATCTGAAGTGGCTTTATGCTGTACAATTCCAATTATGTGACATTCTGGAAAAGGCAGAACTAGAGCATGGTAAAGAAAAAAAAAGATCAGTGCCTTCCAGGGGTTTTTGGAAGAGTGGAAATGGTTAAATAGGTGAAACACAGGAGAATTTTTAGATAGTAAAACTATTTTACATGATACTGAATGATAGATTCATGACATTATGCTCTTGTTAAAATGCATGGAACTTTATAGCACGAAGAGTGAACCTTAGTGTATGCAAAACTGATAAATCATTTATGAGGTCAGGGGATCCCACAATGGAATGCAGAATGTAACAAAATGAATGAACTGTATTACAAATACATGAAACAAGTTCACTGAGGAGGTTGAGGGATAAGGTCCTGGCTCCAGTAACTTGGGAAATAAGCACTGTAGGTATGTAAGACTAAAGACAAACAAAACTGCACATAAGCACTATACCCTGGATGATAAAGTTGTTTCCCACGGAGTTACATTTTAGCAATTCTGATACTGCTACAACAGTATGTCGGAATGGAACAATAAAGTAAGCGGGATGAAAATTTACAGATAACCAAGAGAGAGGCAGCCAGAATAATCAATACAGTCATGAATTAAAGTTGTACATGTCAGTATGAACTCATTTTAGCTTAAGAACGATACAGACTACCATGGTTTGAACGTGTCCCCAAAACTTCATGTGTTAAAAACTTAATCCCCAAATGTATATGTTGATTGGAGGTGAGACATTTGGGAGTTAATTAGAAATAGATAATGTCATCAGGTTGGGGACCCTATGATAGGATTGGTGAGTTTATAAAAAAAATGGAAGAGAGACACGAGCTGACATGCACACTCTTGCCCTCTTGCCATGGGATTCCCTGTGCCATGTTATGACATAGCAAGAAGACCCTCACCAGATGCTGGTGCCATACTTTTGGACTTCCCAGCCTCCAGAACTGTAAAAAATAAATCTCTTTTTTAATATATTACCTAGTCTGGCATATTCTGTCATGACCATAGAGAACAGACTAAAGCATATGCAGTAACATATAGAAGCATTTTTATTCATATATATGGAAAGCCTGGAAGCAATGACATCTTAGTTGCAACAAACACACCTAGTAGCCATATCTTGGTTTTTAATATTATTCTCCAATGCAAAACAAACAAACAAACAAAAAAACCCCAAAAACAAAAAGCAAACAAACAAACAAAAAAACCAGAATTCTTTGGATCAATGGATGTTTCCAGGACTAGAGCAGAAAATATATAAGATGAGCCTGGACCATCCTATAATGTCAGAAAGTAAGTATGATAATTTAAACATGCCCCCTCCAAAATTCAGGTGTTGTCAGTATGACACTATTAAAAGGTGGGACCCCTAAGAGATGATTAGGCCATGAGGGCCACACCATTCTTAATGAGATTAAGGCACTGGTAAAATATGCTTCACTTCCCATTCAACTAGCTTGCTCTTCAGCTATTCTGCCATGTGAGGACAAGACATTCCACTCTCCTGGAAAAATCCCTCATGAGATAGTCAAACCTCTCAGCACTTTGATCTTGAACTTAGCAGCCATCAGAACTATAAGGAAATACAGGTTTACTATTTATAAATTACCCAATCTGTGATATTCTTTTATAGCAGCACAAATGAACTAGGACAAAACAACACAAAATCAGAAACACACACACTGTTATGTAGATGTGACAAGTTAACACAGCCAAGCAACAAGCTCCCAATGGCCAAAGCTGGGACAATTTGAGGAATAAAATTGTCAGGCCTCTGAGCCCAAGCCAAGCCATCGCATCCCCTGTGACTTGCACGTATACGCCCAGATGGCCTGAAGTAACTGAAGAATCACAAAAGAAGTGAATATGCCCTGCCCCACCTTAACTGATGACATTCCACCACAAAAGAAGTGTAAATGGCTGGTCCTTGCCTTAACTGATGACATTACCTTGTGAAAGTCCTTTTCCTGGCTCATCCTGGCTCAAAAAGCAGCCCCACTGAGCACCTTGTGACCCCCACTCCTGCCCGCCAGAGAACCCCCCTTTGATTGTAATTCTCCTTTACCTACCCAAATCCTATAAAACGGCCCCACCCCTATCTCCCTTCACTGACTCTCTTTTCAGACCCAGTCTGCCTGCACCCAGGTGAAATAAACAGCCATGTTGCTCACACAAAGCCTGTTTGGTGGTCTCTTCACATGGACGCGCATGAAATTTGGTGCCGTGACTCGGATCAGGGGACCTCCCTTGGGAGATCAATCCCCTGTCCTCCTGTTCTTTGCTCCGTGAGAAAGATCCACCTACGACCTCAGGTCCTCAGACCGACCAGCCCAAGGAACATCTCACCAATTTTAAATCAGGTAAGCGGCCTCTTCTTACTGTCTTCTTCAACCTCTCTCACTGTCCCTCAACCACTTTCTCCTTTCCACTCTTCAATCTCTCCCTTCTCTTAATTTCAATTCCTTTCATTTTCTGGGAGAGACGAAGGAGACACGTTTTTTCCGTGGACCCAAAACTCCGACGCCGGTCACGGACTGGGAAGGCAGCCTTCCCTTGGTGTTTAATCATTGCAGGGACATCTCTCTGATTATTCACCCATATTTCAAAGGTATCAGACCACGCAAGGACGCCTGCCTTGGTCCTTCACCCTTAGCGGCAAGTCCCGCTTTTCTGGGGAAGGGGCAAGTACCACAACCCCTTCTCTCCTTGTCTCTACCCCTTCTCTGCTTTTCTGGGGGAGGGGAAAGTACCCCTCAACCCCTTCTCCTTCACTCTTAACAGCAAGTCCCACTTTTCTAGAGGAGGGGCAAGTACCCCAACCTCGTATCTCTGCACCCCAATCCCTTATTTCCATGCCCCAACCTCTTATATCTCTGCACCCCAATCCCTTATTTCCACACCCTGACCTCTTATCTCTGCACCCCAATCCCTTATTTCCATGTCCCAACCTCTTATATCTCTGCACCCCAATCCCTTATTTCCGCACCCTGACCTCTTATCTCTGCACCCCAATCCCTTATTTCCGTGCCCTGACCCCTTATTTCCATGCCCCAACTCCTTATTTCCATGCCCTGACCCCTTATTTCTGCACCCCATCCCTTATTTCCACACCCCGACCTCTTATCTCTGCGCCCCAACCCCTTTTCCCACTTTTCTGGAAGGTAAGAACCCCCAAACCCCTTCCCTCCATTTCTCTACTCTGTCTTTTCTCTAGGCTTCCTTCCTTCACTATGGGCAACCTTCCACCCTCCATTCCTCCTTCTACTCCCTTGGCCTGTGTTCTCAAAAACTTAAAACCTTTTCAACTCACAACTGACCTAAAACCTAAATGCCTTATTTTCTTCTGAAATGCCGCTTGACCCCAATACAAACTCGACAGTAGTTCCGAATAGCCAGAAAATGGCACTTTGAATTTTTCCATCCTGCAAGATCTAAATAATTATTGTCGTAAAATAGGCAAAGGGTCTGAGGTGCCTGACGTCCAGGCATTCTTTTACACATCAGTCCCTTCCTAGTCTCTGTGCCCAGTGCAACTCGTCCCAAATCTTCCTTCTTTCCCTCCCGCCTGTCCCCTCAGTACCAACCCCAAGCGTCGCTGAGTCTTTCTAATCTTCCTTTTCTACAGACCCATCTGACCTCTCCCCTCCTCCCCAGGCTGCTCCTCGCCAGGCCGAGCTAGGTCCCAATTCTTCCTCAGCCTCTGCTCCTCCACCCTATAATCTTTTTATCACCTCCCCTCCTCACACCTGGTCCGGCTTACAGTTTCGTTCCGTGACTAGCCCTCCCGCTCCTGCCCAGCAATTTACTCTTAAAAAGGTGGCTGGAGCTAAAGGCATAGTCAAGGTTAATGCTCCTTTTCCTTACCCCAAATCAGATAGCGTTTAGGCTTTTTTTCATCAAATATAAAAATCCAGCCCAGTTCATGACTTGTTTGGCAACAACCCTGAGACACTTTACAGCCCTAGACCCTAAAAGGTGAAAAGGCCGTCTTATTCTCAAAACACATTTTATTAGCCAATCTGCTCCTGACATTAAATAAAACTCCAAAAATTAAATTCCAGCCCCCAAACCCCACAACAGGATTTAATTAACCTCACCTTCAAGGTGTACAATAATAGAAAAAAGTTGCAATTCCTTGCCTCCACTGTGAGACAAACCCCAGCCACATCTCCAGCACACAAGAACTTCCAAATGCCTGAACCGCAGCGGCCAGGCGTTCCTCCAGAACGTCCTCCCACAGGAGCTTGCTACACATGCTGGAAATCTGGCCACTGGGCCAAGGAATGCCCGCAGCCCAGGATTCCTCCTAAGCCGTGTCCCATCTGTGTGGGAACCCACCGAAAATCAGACTTCAACTCACCTGGCAGCCACTCCCAGCGCCCCTGGAACTCTGGCCCAAGGCTCTCTGACTGACTCCTTCCCAGATCTTCTCGGCTTAGCAGCTGAAGACTGACACTGCCCGATTGCCTCGGAAGCCCCCTAGACCATCACGGACGCCGAGCTTCGGGTAACTCTCACAGTGGAAGGTAAGCCCGTCACCTTCTTAATCAATACGGAGGCTACCCACTCCACATTACCTTCTTTTCAAGGGCCTGTTTCCCTTGCCTCCATAACTGTTGTGGGTATTGACGGCCAGGCTTCTAAACCTCTTAAAACTCCCCAACTCTGGTGCCAACTTAGACAATACTCTTTTAAGCACTCCTTTTTAGTTATCCCCACCTGCCCAGTTCCCTTATTAGGCTGAGACACTTTAACTAAATTATTTGCTTCCCTGACTATTCCTGGACCACAGCTGTATCTCATTGCCGCCCTTCTTCCCAATCCAAAGCCTCCTTTGCATCCTCCTCTTGTATCCCCCGACCTTAACCCACAAGTATAAGATACCTCTACTCCCTCCTTGGCAACCGATCATGCACCCCTTACCATCTCATTAAAACCTAATCACCCTTACCCCACTCAATGCCAATATCCCATCCCGCAGCAAGCTTTAAAAAGATTAAAGCCTGTTATCACTCGCCTGCTACAGCATGGCCTTTTAAAGCCTATAAACTCTCCTTACAAGTCCCCCATTTTATCTGTCCTAAAACCAGACAAGCCTTACAAGTTAGTTCAGGATCTGCGCCTTATCAACCACATTGTTTTGCCTATCCACCCCATGGTGCCAAACCCATATACTCTCCTATCCTCAATACCTCCCTCCACAATCCATTATTCTGTTCTAGATCTCAAACATGCTTTCTTTACTATTCCTTTGCACCCTTAATCCCAGCCTCTCTTCATTTTCACTTGGACTGACCCTGACACCCATCAAGCTGAGCAAATTACCTAGGCTGTACTGCCGCAAAGCTTCACAGACAGCCCCCATTATTTCAATCAAGTCCAAATTTCTTCCTCATCTGTTACCTATCTCGGCATAATTCTCATAAAAACACACGTGCTCTCCTTGCCAATCGTGTCCGACTGATCTCTCAAACCCAAGCACCTTCTACAAAACAACTCCTTTCCTTCCTAGGCATGGTTAGCGCAGTCAGAATTCTTACACAAAAGCCAGGACCACATCCTATAGCCTTTTTGTCCAAACAACTTGACCTTACTGTTTTAGGCTGGCCATCATGTCTCCGTGCAGCCGCTGCTGCTGCCCTAATACTTTTAGAGGCCCTCAAAGTCACAAACTATGCTCAACTCACTCTCTACAGTTCTCATAACTTCCAAAATCTATTTTCTTCCTCATAGCTGACGCATATACTCTCTGCTTCCCGGCTCCTTCAGCTATACTCACTCTTGGTTGAATCTCCCACAATTACCATTGTTCCTGGCCCAGACTTCAATCCGGCCTCCCACATTATTCTTGATACCACACCTGACCCCCTTGACTGTATCTCTCTGATCCACCTGACATTCACCCCATTTCCCCAAATTTCCTTCTTTCCTGTTCCTCACCCTGATCATGCTTGATTTATTGATGGCGGTTCCACCAGGCCTAATCGCCACACACCAGCAAAGGCAGGTTATGCTATAGTACGAGCCACTAGCCCGCCTCTTAGAACCTCTCATTTCCTTTCCATCTTGGAAATCTATCCTCAAGGAAATAACTTCTCAGTGTTCCATCTGCTATTCTACTACTTCTCAGGGATTATTCAGGCCCCCTCCCTTCCCTACACACCAAGCTCGAGGATTTGCCCCACCCAGGACTGGCAAATTAGCTTTACTCAAAATGCCCTGAGTCAGATAACTAAAATACCTCTTAGTCTAGGTAGATACTTTCACTGGATAGGTAGAGGCCTTTCCTACAGGGTCTGAGAAGCCACCGCAGTCATTTCTTCCCTTCTGTCAGATATAATTCCTCAGTTTAGCCTTCCCACCTCAATACAGTCTGATAACAGATGAGCCTTTATTAGTCAAATCAGCCAAGCAGTTTTTCAGGCTCTTAGTATTCAGTGAAACCTTTATATCCCTTACGGTCATCCGTCTTCAAGAAAAGTAGAATGGACTAAAGGTCTTTTAAAAACACACTGCACCAAGCTCAGCCACCAACTTAAAAAGGACTGGACAATACTTTTACCACTTTCCCTTCTCAGAATTCAGGCCTGTCCTCGGAATGCTACAGGGTACAGCCCATTTAAGCTCCTGTATAGATGCTCCTTTTTATTAGGCCCCAGTCTCATTCCAGACACCAGACCAACTTAGACTGTGCCCCCAAAAACTTGTCATCCCTACTATCTTCTGTCTAGTCATACTCCTATTCACTGTTCTCAACTACTCGTACATGCCCTGCTCTTGTTTACACTGCCAGTTTATACTGTTTTTCCAAGCCATCATAGCTGATATCTCCTGATGCTATCCCCAAACTGCCACTTTTAACTCTTGAAGTAAATAAATAATCTTTGCTGGCAGGACTATGCTGAATCTCCTTAGGCACTCTCTAATCAGATATCCTGAGTCATCCCAATTCTTAGACCTTTTATACCTGTTTTTCTCCTTCTGTTATTCCATTTAGTTTCTCAATTCATCCAAAACCGTTATCCAGGCCATCACCAATCATTCTATACGACAAACGTTTCTTCTAACATCCCCACAATATCACCCCTTACCACAAGACCTCCCTTCAGCTTAATCTCTCCCACTCTAGGGTCCCACGCTATCCCTAATCCCGCTTGAAGCAGCCCTGAGAAACATCGCCCATTCTCTCCCCATACCACCCCCCAAAAATTTTCGCCACCCCAACACTTCAACATTATTTTGTTTTATTTTTCTTATTAATATAAGAAGGCAGGAATGTCAGGCCTCTGAGCCCAAGCCAAGCCATCGCATCCCCTGTGACTTGCACGTATACACCCAGATGGCCTGAAGTAACTGAAGAATCACAAAAGAAGTGAATATGCCCTGCCCCACCTTAACTGATGACATTCCACCACAAAAGAAGTGTAAATGGCCGGTCCTTGCCTTAAGTGATGACATTACCTTGTGAAAGTCCTTTTCCTGGCTCATCCTGGCTCGAAAACACCCCCACTGAGCACCTTGTGACCCCCACTCCTGCCCGCCAGAGAACAACCCCCCTTTGACTGTAATTTTCCTTTACCTACCCAAATCCTATAAAACGGCCCCATCCCTATCTCCCTTCGCTGACTCTCTTTTCAGACTCAGCCCGCCTGCACCCAGGTGAAATAAACGGCCATTTCGCTCACACAAAGCCTGTTTGGTGGTCTCTTCACACGGATGCGCATGAAAAAAATAAAAAAGACAGATTTGATTATAAGTTAAAGTATAGAGCCAATACCCATGAGTCCATACTGATGTAAATATATTATTGAATAAAGAAATAAATAAGAATGAGAAACAATTTTAAAAAAATCCAAACAACATATATGCTCTACCTCCAAGGAGGTGCAATCCACAGCCCCATCCCCTAGGTGTGAGCTGAGCATACTGGCTTCCTTTCAAAGAGTACAGCCAGAAAAAGGGGACGCTTGACAAACACTGCCTCAGCCAGGTGATGAAGAGTGACATCAACAATTATAAGTCATCTTGATGGTATATGCACTTGATATAAGGTGATAACAATGACACTTTATCTCTGTGGTCTTCCTTTTTCAAACCCACAGCCCAATCTAATCATGAGATAAACATCAGACAAATCCCAAGTAAAGGACATTCTACAAAATACCTGGCCGGTACTCTTCAAACCTATAAAGTAATCAAAAACAAGGAAAACCTGAGAAGCTGTCACAGCCCAGAAGTGCCTAAGGAAACATGGTGGCTAAGTGGAATGTGGTTTTGGGCTGCAAACCTGGAACAAAAAAAAAAGACATTAAGTAAAAACTAGAGAAATCTAAATAAAACATTGGTTTTAGTTAATAAGAATGTATTGTTTTTCAATTGTAAAAGGCTATACTATGCTAAATAAGATCTTTACTAGGAGAACTTGAGCATGAGGTTTAACAGCATTCCCTGAGCTCTCTACAGAGACTGTGATTTTTTTCTGTAGATCAAAATTCGTTGTGTCAAAACATTTATTTTTTAAAAATACAAAATAGTGAGATTACCCCAATTTCTGGACAGTTACATTAATACAGATTGCAACGAAATCATTCGGTGTAAAGTATTTGAATTTAGAAGATGGATTTTTGAGCCAGACATCATCTCAGAATGCCTGTTGCTCCCAGTGACTTGATTTAAAATGTGGAGACTGAGTCTCCAATAAGACAAACGACTCGTCTAAATTCCTCCAGGGATCGAATCATCTTAGAAATAATCTCTTCTGTTCTCAGGCCAGATTTCCACCCCATGAACAATGCTGCCCTTTTAAATATCCTCATTTACGAGTCATGCTTCAGGAAATGTGACTAAATCAAAAGCATTTAAGTTCTATCAGGTTGGTGCAGAAGAAATTGCGGTTTTGGTCATTACTTTTAATGGCAAAAAATGCAACTACTTTTCACCAAACTAATACAGAGTTTGATTACCCAAGTTCTTTGCTGAAGACTGTTTTGTTTTTCTCTGAAACATACTGAACTCCTCAGATTCAGGCTTGTGTGTGTGTGATAAGTATATAAGTATAGCATATGCATATTCCTCCTTTAGATATTCCAAGTACACGGAGGTGCTTGAGAGTCAGTTTGTAATCTGGGGAGTTTTCTGCAGAGATTGTCAGAGAGGAGTCCATGCAGTTGGTGTTAAGCATTGCTCCCAAGCATTTTGGAATTAAAAAAGCTAAACAATAACAATATAACAAGAGTGTAGAAAAAGAGGAAAGGGAAGAGAACTTTGACTTTCTGAAGTACTTCCAGGTTAGCGGATGACAATGAGGTAAGTAATAGGAAAGCATGAGGTTTGGAAGAAAGAAGGAAAATGTATAGTCTGCAAATGAAAGGCTGTGAGCTCCAGAAGCATCAGCCTTAAGTGCTCCAAGTCAGGACCAGAGAGACCCACAGGGCATTCCAGAGCCTCACAGGCAGGCCAGGAGTGTTCTGCTCACATCTCTCGGGGAATAATCTGCCTTTTAAAGGAGTTACCTGCAGCTCAATTACAAATAATGAAACCAATTCAGCTCATTAAGAGAAACTCCACAGGTACCATTCAAAGGAGAATCCAGTAAAAAGTCTTCCAGAGTTTCTTGCAGGCTGATTTTACCATTTCCTCCTGTCTTCAGCAGCTGATGTATTTACAAACATGTAGGAACATAAGGCAATTGGTAAGTCATTAAACACTGTGGAATATGCATTAGGGACATTGTGTATATAGTGCTGAATACCTAACCTCACTTTCCACTGGGAATGAGGTAGGAGAGAATGGCTCCAGATGGTCGGAAGGTCTTAGGGCAACAGTCAGGAAAAGCTTCTGGATACCAAAACTTAAATAGGATGCAGAATTGGGAGAACTAGCGACAAAACCAGAAATAATCATTTATATGTTACACTCTTTGCCCCAGAATGAGGATTTTACTTTATTTTATTATCTTATTTTTGGGACAGGTTCTCGCTCTGTTGACCAGGCTGCAGTGCAGTGGTGCAATCATGGCTCACTGCAGCCTCAGCCTCTTGGGCTCAAGTGATCCTCCTGCCCCAATCTCTTGAGTAGCTTGAACTACAGGCACATGCCACCATGCCCAGCTAATTTTTTTTAAAGATGGGGTCTCACTATGTTGCCCAGGCTGGTCTCAACCTCCTGGGCCCAAGTGATTCTCCTGCCTAGGCCTCCCAAAGTGCCAGGATTGCAGCTGTGAGCCACTATGCCCAGCCTAGAATGAATATTTTAGAGAGAACAGATGTAGGAAAAGATTAAGTCTAGAAAGGAAAATGCACTTAAGTGGCGTCATTTGGAAAAGGATCTGGGCTCGCTGTGGGCCTGGGTGTGTGAGTATGAGACCCTCAAGCTGCCCATCTGTCATGCCGGTGTGAGCAGATGGAAGCAAATTTCAGAAAGGCCTCGATTTTTGAATAGACCCAGGTTCTAGTAGATTTTCTTCTTTGTTTCCCTTCCACTTAATTAACTCCTTGCTTCCTTTCCTGACTCTTCTCATCCTGGAGCCGTACTCCCGCATCCCTCACCTCAAACATCTACAGTGTCAACGCTCATAATAGCAAGGCCTGTCGTTTGAACAAGGCCAATGTGTTTCTTCAAGGACATCTTTCTCCTGGCTACTAGGGCACTCTTTCTGAAGCCCAGGCGCCACAGCAGAGCCTTCGTTCTGGATTCAGTTCTTGATTTCTGAGACTGCCTCATCAGAATTTGAACTCGTTGTCATTTATTTACCCCATACCCTAAATATTCGCCCCTCTCCACATTTCTTACCCAGCCCAGTGACTGAAATTTAAGACCAGTCTTAGGTCTTTTTCTCATCATGGAGGAGATTCTACCGTTTTCACCTTGGATTTGTCACCTGCCTAACCATTCTCCTAGCTTTGGACTTCATTCTCACACCTGAGATAGTGATTCTTTAGGTGTTATCTACTTACTAATGTCTTATTACTAAGCATGCAAATATATTCCCATTGCATCATTTCAGAACTTTCTCATGAAGATAAATTTAAAAGGGCTCAAAATTTGTCACCTGTAATGATGAATAAATGTCTTATAATAGTCAAATACAACATTTTAAAGGAAAGAAATTATTGTGCCAACCTCTTCCGCATTGCTAAAGAGAATAATGCTGCACATTCCTCTGAAGCCATGAAATAGAGGTGCCCACATAAGAAGCAGCTTGAAAAAAAAAAAAAAAAAAGAAGAAGCAGCTTGAAAAAAATAATGCACGAAAAGTTTAGTGCCAGCCCTGGTGATATTGGATGGTGCATGGAGGCGATTCCACTGCTTGCCTTCTCGGGCTGTTGCTTTATCCTATATTTGGGTGACACATCTTCTAATCCAGAGGCGCATGGCCCTCGTGCAGGAATGTAATTCTAATTGCTGTGAAAATGCACGCTTCTCCCTTTGCAGTGGGTTCCAGTGCATACAAAAGTGAATTAACATAGGCTGCTAATCTATATTTTGCCCACCATCCAAAAATATTACAACTTTATTTTCTGAAATTTTAGATGATGTGGGAATAGAAATGACATGGGCTTCTACTTTGCTTAATTTATTGAAACTTAAAATTCCTTCATAATATGACTGCCTGGAACTTATCAGATTAGATAATTCACTTTTCCCTAGAGAGCTCTTCATTTTTTTGATTTAGTGAAAACCATATGCTTTTACCTACAGGTGTACTTTACATTGCCTTTAGCAAACATGGGTGGATTTCTTTGCAACACACGAGAGATAAGGCTAACACCAGGTGAGTTAAATAAGTTTTTACTATATAAGTATATCATATTCTACTTAACTAATGATTACCTTATGAATTCTACACAACTAAAGATTACCTCATCAATCATCCAATGCAGTGGTTCTGCCTCTGGGTTTAAGAAAGAAACTCTAACGATGTAGACACCACTTTCAGTATTTTAAAGAGCCTAATAAAAAATTAGACATTCATCATTTAAGTCACAGAAAATGACTCAACAATCAATTTATTTCCTTTCTTTCTTTCTGTCCTTTCATTTCTTCCATTTTCCTCCCTTTCTCCCTTCCTTCTTTCCTTCTTCCTTTCTTAGTTCTTTTCTTCTTTTCTCTTTTCTTTTCTCCTTTCTTTCTTTCTGTTTCTTTCTTTCTCTTTCTTCCTTTCTTTCTCTCTTTCTTTCTTTCCTTTTCTTTCTTCTTTCCTTTCCATTTTTCTTTCCTCTCTCCCTTCCCCCTCCCTCTCCTCCTTCCTTCTCTCTCATCCTTTTTTCTCTGCCTCCTTTCCTGTCTTCCTCCCTCCTTTCCTTCCTTCTTTCCTTCCTTTCTTCCTCCCTTCCTCTCTTTCATTTCTTCCTTCCCTCCCTCGCTTCCTGTATCCCTTCCTCCCTTTCTGTCTTTCCCCTCCTTCTTCTACTCACTTTGTCTGTCTCACTCAACGTGGTGACATGTTCTCTCCGTGCTCCATCACTGAGTTACCTCTCCCATCCCCGGCACCCACTGATAAGGAAAGTCCAGTTTAGAAATGCTGCAGTGCTCATCTCAGTTTCCTCAGGTACTTCCTGCTTGATTCCCTTTTGCTCTTTTATTTGTTAGACTTTAGAATCTTAGATGTTGTCTTCCAGGCCATGGCATTTGGTCTCCTGAATGAATTCCTTAGTAATGACTTAGGAGAGTCAAACTTGCCCTTTTGTCTTGTCCTGGTTGAGCTACACCTGTGATTTCTGAACATCCAACTTCTCTGTCAGTACAGCCCCACGGCTGGTAGCTTTGTATTTTATGTGCCAACTAGAAGTTCGCACTAGCAGCTCTCTGTTGATACATAATTGAATGGAAACATGTACTTAAGTTTATAGACTACAATACCATTGAATTGTAGTTTGCTTTTGTTTTTATTTTTTCCAAGCATGAGCTCCACGTGAAGCAAAAAAGGAATATTTTTCCTTGAATAAACATGCAATACAGATCCATTACAATTCTTTCCCTTTAAACATCCAAAGTCCAGAAGTTTTAATGATTGGATGGAGCCTCCCTTCTTGTGAGCAGCAAAGTTATAATTCTGGGACACAGAAAGTAAAATGCCAGCTTTCAAGTCAAGCCTCGCATACCAAACATTATTCCAGAAGTCCAGAAGAATAGAAATGAAAGTTTTAAAAAAAATAGTAAGTGAAGAATCACTTTATAAGCCAGCTCACTAAATCAATCACTGTGGAGAATAGAAATTCTGGGTCACTTGTCTGTCTCAGTGACAAGTAGTAGGTATGAGGTCTGGTGACTTTTCTGAAATAAAATATTTGGCAATAGAAAACTGAAAAAAAGTGTGACATGTTTAACCCTTCCATATTTTCTCTCCCTGCCCAGGGAAGGGGCTTATGATCCTTTCCTAGGCCATGGTTCTTGAAGGTTGCATTGTTACAGGAAGTAGATGAAGCAGACATCCGGTTCTAAGGACTCAGTAGAGCACCGCAGTCAGGGTTTTTATGAGCTGTGAATGTGCAGCCGAGACATAAGAGCGGCCACTGGTCGAAAAGTTAGGGGCAAATCAGTAAGTCAGAAATCAAGCAGCAAAGTGGAAAAGCTTGGCTTCCAAATGAAACACGTAGCTAGAATAGGAGGGGGGGATACAATGGAAGAGAAGATTGGAGAGAAGAAAGAACTCACCAACCTATGCTGATGCTGAACAAGTGCCAAGGATGAGCCAATGTTATTGAATCCTCATAACTGTCTTATCTCATTTAACACATGAAATACTTGAAGCTTTTAGAAGATAGGGAAATACGGGGATCACATAGCTAATACGAGGAAGAGAGAGCACATCTCGGGAGAGTCATGAAGATTAATGGAAACTAAAGAGGCAAATATGGAACAAGAAAGAAAGCACCAGAGCCAAGGTGTCTTGGATCTGAAATATCTTCTCTCTTTGTAAGAAAAGCTCTATGTTTTCTAGGGTCTAATTAAAAGATTGGTGTATTAGTCCGTTTTCATGTCGCTGATAAAGACATACCTGAGACCGAGTAATTTATAAAGAAAAAGAGGTTTAATGGACTTACAATTCCATGTGGCTGGGGAGGCTTCACAATCATGTCAGAAGGTGAAAGGCATGTCTTACATGGTGTCAGGTGAGGAAAGAATGAGAGCCAAGTGAAAGGGGAAACTCCTTATAAAACCATCAGATCTTGTGAGACTTATTCACTACCACGAGAACAGTGTAGGGGAAACTGCCCCCATGATTCAATTATCTCCCACCAGGTCCCTCCCACAACATGTGGGAATTATGGGAGCTGCAATTCAAGATGAGATTTGGGTGGGGACACAGCCACACCATATCAATTTGGAACAAACTGTAGCAAAAGAGAGCGAGTGAGACAGGAATGCCTGTTGATTCTGGCCCTTGTTCTTAGCTGAAGGAGACAACACCATGTACCCACCACTTATTACCATAGTAGAAATACCTTCCAGGTGGGTGAGGCTGTGCACTAAGCCTGCACACTTCAAACTTATTTTTCACTTTAAAGTCTACATTTTAAAGTCCTTTATAATATTAACGTAACTCATACATCTCCAAGTTAAACAGAAAATTAGTCTAGAATTCAATGTAGGTGGTTACTGCAGGATATTAGCACTTATGAATTACCGACCAGTACTGCTCTCTGTGCTTTTCTTACTCCCCATGTTACAGAGGAGAAAACTGAAGCAATAGAGAATGAGTAACTGAACCAGCATTAAGCCATCTTGAAATCAGAAGGAACTGGGATTTAAACTGGAGTCTGTCTTACTCTAAATCCTATGTTCTTTTCATTGTATCTTATAAATGTCAATGAAAAAATTCCTGTGAATTATTCTCTTATGCCATTCCCACATACAAATTCTCCAAACTCAAGTCAAACAGCTGAAACAGACCAACATAGCTAATGCCAAGAGTTGTTTTTTCGTTTAATAGTTTTCTCAGAATCATCGTTATTTCTCAAAAGTCATTTTGTATTCATGCTTTATTGTCTATTTCTTTGAACTTTAAAAACAACCAAAAATCTATGGCAATCTCATAGTTGTATGCTTATTTTTTCACAACTGGATCAAATTCAATGCTTCTAAACTCCCCTGGCTATTATTTTAGACATGGACATTTCATCAGGAATATTAGAAGAGCAATGGAGGGAACAACTAAATCTCATACGTTTTGCCCCAATCTATTTTTCACGGCTTTGTGATTGTTATATTTTCCATAAAATTGATCTTCATGTAGACTGTTATGGTGAATTTCACAGTGGCGAATACAATTACCTCCAAATGTAGAAAGTGTAGTACTTGTCTACCTCTCTGCAGAGAGTGCGATCTTAGCATGTAAACAGTTATTGTGGGGGGATCATACCAGATTTCAGCTTGATCAGGGAGTGTGGAGTTGACACATGTTGGAGGTGAGAATTATATTGAGTATTCTTAATTAACAGTTGTGTTTGATCAGGGATTTAGAAGTTAGCACCTGTGAGAATGTGAGAATTGAATTCTGAATGGCCGACCTAAGTGGAACAGCTTCCTTGTTGGTGGTGGAGCTTAAGGCATTTGCTAGGAGATGTGTAGGAAAGCCAAGATGAGTGATGTACATTGGAGGCACATGGTGATGCATTTCTGTTTTTAGGGAAAAAAGAATCACTCATTGGATAATGTATTATTTCTACTTTGAATGCCTCCAGAATCTGACCACAATGCCTCCAGAATCTGACCACTTACGACTTGGATATCCAATTTTGTCTTAAATTTAACAATTATTTATCTACAGGTAAGGCAGCGTAGCTCACTAGAAGGGAATTGTGTTTGGAATTGGATAGTGCTGGTTGTATCTGGCCTCACTGATTTCTTTTTTTTTTTTTTTTCAGACAGTTTCACTCTTGTCATCCAGGCTGGAGTACAGTGGCACCATCTTGGCTCACTGCAACCTCCACCTCCTGGGTTTAAGTGATTCTCCTGCCTCAGCCTCCCAAGTAGCTGGGATCGCAGGCACCCACTACTATGCCCGACTAACTTTTTGGATTTTTAGTAGAGACAGGGTTTCACCATGTTGGCCAGGCTGGTCGCAAACTCCTGACCTCAGGTGATCTGCTTACCTCAGCCTCCCAAAGTGCTGGGATTACAGGCATCAGCCACCATGACCGGCCCATTGATTTTTGTTGTGTAAACTTGGGCATGGATTTTCCTCTCTAAAGCTCAATTTCTCCATCAGTAAAATGAAAGTTATGATTCCTACCTAGCAAAAGTGATGAAAAGAGTTAATGTAATCCAAGTATAACACAGTTAGCAATAGTATCTAATACACAAGACAAACATTAAGCAAGTGTCCTCTTCTGAGACCTAGCACCTTCTCCTCCAGGTAAACTGAGCTTCTCCTTAGTTCCTAAATATATGTCTTGTTCACGTGGCTTCTGTGCTTCATCTGGGATACTGTTTTCTCTTGGATTATTTTACTTTCCTTTTCCTTTTGTTCAAATATTTCCCTCTTTGGGAAGTATTTATAGTAACAACAAAAATCCCTGTTTTAATCTCAAATTCAGATTTAACTGGGTACCCTGTATCTTTCTTTGCCAAATCTGGCACACCTACTGTAGGAGGTGTTGCCTTTTTAGACTTTAGGATTTGGGCCCAGTGGTCTATCTGTCAGTCACTAGACAAGTACCTAACATTCAATAAGTACTTATTGATTAGAAATGCGAAAACTTATAACCCGTATCTTGCTTAATTGTGTTCAGACTTGCTTTATTAAATACATTTCATTTATTTGTTTGAACTAGATTCTAAGTCTGTGGACTCAGAGTCCATAGTTTATTACAGTCATTATGGCATGTCAGTAAGAGTTAAAGTTCTTGGATTTCACAATTATGTGTGAAATTTCCCAGAAGAGGATAAGCTTAACACAATAGCCTTACTCAATGGCAGACTTTCAATATGGCTAAATCTTAAACTAAAAGAGTAATTGTCCTTTACATTGCAGCCAAAACAACCCTAATTAATGACTTTGCTAACAACTGTTTTTGCTTATAAGCACTTTCAGTTACTTTGTTAATTTAGGCATAAATATCCATCCAATACAAAATATATTGTTAGAAAGATTTTTTTTTAATTCCTCAAGATTATTTTCTTTGTATTTATTTAGCTATCTATTTACCTGTTCAGTTCCTTATAGTTAGATAGGAAACAAGTCAAAATACATTTATTGAGCATCTATTCTGTGAGAGGAATACAAGGAGATGACTGAGCCTACAGAACTTGGGCCCTGAGGCCACTGAAGCTGTTTTAAGAAGAGAAAAATTAAGAAACAATGAAGAAATATATACAGTGCCCTGTGTGTGTGTGTGTGTGTGTGTGTGTGTGTGTGTGTGTGTGTATACACATGCTTTTAGGTAGGTACTCTAAAGGGAAGAAATTCAAGGAAAAATATTGTTGGCTCGGCCCTTTTACCCCTATAGACATAAAGATTAACCTAAGGTGGCACACATTTTCTCAGAAAAGAGGAAGTTAAATTTGTATAAAACTATGACTGAATCATACATTTACTCTATTCTGCCTTATATTATCATTACTTGGGTCTCCACATTGAATGGCCAAGAACCAAGTTGGGTCATGTGTGTAAAAGTATTTCTGCTCTCTTTTATTGTCTAAGCTTGTAAAGTTTTACAAAGGTTAGAGAGCAGCTTTAATAATTACACCCAATCTGAATCCATCAGCTGCTTCTTACTCTCATTCTCATAGGAATAAGCAGTGGTGGAAAATTATTCCACAAATGCAAACACACACAGATGACCACAGCTCACTCCAGATTATTTTCTTGTTCAGGATCCAAGGACAATGACTACATAAATCTGAAAATGAAAAGGATGCATCAGTCCATTAAATATTAACATGGCATTGCTTTTGAATTTGAAAATGTGTATTTTTTTTGAAATAAAAGAATGAGATAGTCTTGAGATGTTTAATTTCTGGAATGTGGTAAATGTATAACTGTTTACCTAATAATATCCACAAACCCATCAAACAATATATTTCCTTATATTAAGGTGAAGATTAATCAAATGCGATACAACTCTGGCATTTAATAACTTCAAATTACTATTAATTTTGGAAATACTTGTAAGTTACTGAATAGTTAACATTAATAAATATAGCAATATTTTAAAATATCAAGAAAAATACGTAACTTAACAGACCCAATAAATTAAAACTTCATAAATTGCTTGTCTTTCCTTGATTTCTTTTCAAGAAATCAGTGGAATTATAAACTGTCCACAAACAGTTTTGAGACCAAGATCGAGGTGACTGGCATCCAGATGGTAATGGTGATATGTGGATATCATAGCCTTCTTTGATTTTAACTATATGATTTAAGTAAAATAATGGGGTCTACAAGGATTACACAGAAAACCAAATCTTGAGGAAGCAAACAGCATGAAGAAAGAAAGCACAGTGGTACCTGTCCAAATACTGAAGCCAAGGGAAGAGAGAGAAATCTGAAGAAAGAAGATGTGTAAAGCCATGGGATACCGAGATGAATTCTGTGCTGAAATGAGGATATGGAGTCTCTTTAGGCTATCATGGGCTAGCATAAAGGGAGATAACATTGTAGGCAAATGCTCAATCTCTGCTGTCAGGTCAAAGAGCCTCTGGGAAGATAGATAACAAAAAACGATCATTCCATGGGACCTGTGTGAAGGTAGTGGTGAGTGCAGGGCCCCACATACAGTGGAATCCTAAGAGGGAAGGAGACAAAAATGAGTTTCAGGATTAGGGAATTCAGGTGATACATGTATTTTTTGTTTGTTTTTTGTTTTGCCACATGAAGTCATTTTTGGTAGAACCAAGCTTGATGTTTCAAGACTAAAAACTGAACATTCAGTGGTCCAGTTATCTTCTTCTACAGAGAGAACAGAATTAATTTTCCTTTCAATACCAAAATCTACCAGATTTTTACTTTCTGAGGGGAGAGAGTTGTCCTGGTTCACATCACACGCGCAGCACCTATCATAGAGACCTGTCACTGTAAGTACTTAGTCAGTGCCTGTTGTTGAATAGATGAGGCCCTCAAAGAGGATGAGGCCCCACAGATGTTGAGGAGGGCCCCTGCCTGTTGTTAATCCAGTTATTTGGCTTAATCTTCACCCTGATAGTCTATAAAAGATAAAACACTGCCTTCTCATTTCTGTAATTTCCTGTATCTCTTTATTGAGAAATAGAAGCTCAATGAAAAGTCCTTCCCATTAGCTGGTTTTCACAATGCTCACATGCTTAACACATACACACAGACATGCATGCGTGCATATATGCATGCATACGTACATCCACCCAACAAATCCCTGTGTGTCAGACACCAGTTGATTTGTCTGGGGCTGGGTATGGTGTGTGCAGAGGGGGACAGGCTGGGAGGGATTCCCATGTGCTGGGCAGGGTACCAGCATCTCCTTAGCTCTTCCTGCCCCCACCTCATATTCTTAGACCTTGTTTTTCCCTCTCCTTATTCTAACAGTAACATTTCTTATTTTTAATTACTCTCTTCTGTTCTTTCCTCACTCAGTTCCCTCAGTTTATTTTTTATTTCTATTACAAAGCAAATCCTTATAGGCAATAGTATATTCTACTTTGTGTTGATTATTTCAAACATGTCGGATTGTTCCCAGGTCATTTTTTGCAGTTTTTTAGTGTTACTAATAAGACATAATTACTCAGGCAGTTCTTTTGTCTATAATACATTTTACTAGGTTCCATTTTAGCTATTATTCATTTTATTTTGTGTTGAATACCTCTGGCAATGATACATACTGTATGCTTTCTAGAAGACTGATAATTTTCATTTATTTTTGGTGCAGAATGCAGAGGTCATCAGGATGGCAATAGTGTAGAATGTGAGCACATGTTGGTGTCAAAGGCAGGATCCTAACGCGCTGCGCCTTCTGGCCCCGCCACACTCACCCACACCGGGCATTTTCACTCCTAGATGTGGGTCCCATCAGCCTGAAAGTCCAAAGGTTAGGTTTTCTCTTCATCTCAGGATTTAAATCATCGAAATACGTTCATTCCTCCTGAAAATAATGTTTCCCTGCAGTTGCCATGAACTAATACTGTAATAAAGAATGGTCTTTTGTATTGATTCTTAAAAAAAGACCAATCACAAAACAGCTGCCGTTACTGAATAATGACTTAAAAACTCAAAAAAATCTGTAACGATACTAATAAAATTTGTATCTAACATACTTAATATAAATCATTTTGCCAAGAGAATGCTTAACATCATCCTTTGAGAGGGGGAAAATTCACAACCTTTTCCACAAAGTAAACACTTCCTCCATGTCAGCCATGTTAACTATGAGGAAGTATTTTGTTACGAAATAGAAAATGGGGCTGTTTAAATAAAATGAACTGATGTCGTTCAGGAGTAACCCCAGAAAAAAATGTGAGGCATTATTTCGAGTGGATGATCAATCTTCTTTGATTCCATCACTCTGCTGACATCTTGTCTGTCTGTTAATGTCAAGAAGTTTGACTTATTTTCTAACCACGCCATATCAAATGTCCTATTATTACCTTTCTGAGCATTTACTCAAGCTGAAGTCTTTCCAGATTCTGCTCGACTGTATCCCAGCAAGACTGGTGTCTCTTCTCCCTTGAGGAAAATGGGTGAATGCCACTGGTTTGCTGGTAAATGTTTGAGCACCAGTTATCCAAAATGAAAAAAAAGAAGAGTTGTAATTTGTGGTCTTGGTCAATTCCTGAGGTGTAACTATTTCCACCCTTGATGAATTAAAGCCACCAGTTTGACTGAGCTTAGAGCTGGGAAGAAATGTATGCATCACGAATTGGGAAAGCTGGCTCCAGCCACACGCTGAGGGTTGTGGACTTTCCTATTATTTGGGGAATTTATGAGACGAGAAGCTCCCACAGAGGAGTAGAGACCTTCCCCTAGATGTCTAGATGAGAATGGAAGAGAGGGGAGGTGTTTTGATAGAATCGTTCGTTAGATCAGGACTCTGATGAGTGTTCCAGGACAAATTTGCAGCTTGGATTGGTCATATATGTGGGAACAAGTAGTTAGTGCAATGAGCAGGTGAAGTCAATTCTGAAGCTACACATATGTTTCTCGGTTATTTTCAAACTTTTATCCTAAGAATCACATACAGCATTTCTAAAAAATGCAGATTTCTTAGTTTTTACCCAAGCTGAATCAGTCCTTCTAGAGAGAGCCCTGAGAAATTATATTACAGTAATTGTCATCACTGTAATTCTACTGATTAGGCAAGATCAGGAAACAGAGAAATTAAAGTCTTGCCTTGGGGTGTAATTATGCAAGGGAAAGAAGTAGAATGGTGATTTCTAATCCTAACCGTGCAACAGAATTACCCAGGGAAGTTTAAAAATTCTGCTGCTTCCTAGCCACTCCAGAGATTAGGATTTAATTTGTCTGGGGTTGTTGGGAAGGCTGGACAGCTGTAGATTTAAAGAGCGCCCAGGTGCTTCTGATCTGCAGCCAGGCTGGGAAGTGCTGATGTGGTCCTCCTGAAAACGGGATTGACAACAGCACTCGAGGGAAATCAACAGTTTAAGCTGAAGCGTGTCATGTCACAACTGCAGCTTATATGTTTATAAGTTTATCTTTCTCAACAAACTGTGTCCTTCCGGAGACAAGGGCTCACGTCTGCTTTCCTTCTGTGCCCTCAGCACTTAAGCAGCAGTGGGCATATGGTAATCCTACAGTAAATGTTGAGTGAGTGAATGTCCTAATTGGCTTACCTCATTAATAACTTGGTGATAATGTGTTGATTATTGCATTATCTTGTTCTGAGTAACATATTTGTGTTTCTATGGGACCATCTGCAGACAATGACTTAACCCAGAGAAATACCTCCCCCGCTGTGGTAGGCAGGTGGGGAAGATATTTTTTATTAATCCTTTCTCTTTCATACAATGTGTATTATGTGGGCAGCTTATTTTTATTAAAAACAGTCTAGTGTCCTGGTGTATTTTATTTTTTAAGTGTACCTTAAATATCAACTTCCCAGCTGAAAGGTACAGGGCAGGGCTTTGGAATAATGATTTTAAAAGAGATATAAATCGGATAGTATTTCTATGTTTACAAGCAGTTAAAGACATGCAGTGCTAGATAAGGTAAAAACTTCTCAAATGTGAAAAAAAATGGCATTTTCCTCATAAGCACAAAATATTCCAGAATCACAAACATTAATTTATTCCAAAAGCATATTTTTCATTCTCAGTCCACAGCTCGTTTGGAGAATGAGCAGAGCAAATATTCACATGTGCTCCCAGCACCTGTGGTCTACTTGGTAAATAATGAGCATCCCAGTCTTCGCACTCATGACTAATTATGAAGGAATCTGTGCCTGTGTTCCCTCTGTACACTTCTCCCATGTGTCTTACCTCTTCCTAGTTTGTTCTCTTGATTTTCTCAATGACAGTTAAAATGGAATCCAATGAGAGAGAAGGGCTTCTTGCTTACTGCAATTTGTTCTGCTTTGATTAATTTAAACTGAACAATCACCCCACTCTCCTCTGTGCGCTGGGAAGCCTCTGTGTCCTGAGGCCTTGGGAGGGAAGAAACTTCTGTGTCTCTCCCTGCAGCCTCCTCCACTGGGATGTGATGGAGGAAGGCCAGCTGGAGACCAGCAGTGTGGTTTGTATCTGTTATAGAGACCTTTCTGCATGCCTACCAGATCTGGGCCATCCACCAGTGGCACCTCAAGGTCATTTGGCAATATCTGAGACATTTTGGGTTGCCATAACTTGGGTGAGGGGTTGGTGAGAAGGTAGTCCTTGCATCTAGTAGTAAAAGCTAGAGATATTGAAAAGCATCCAACAATACACAGGGCAAACCCTAAAACAAATAGTCATTCATCCTCAGATGTCTGCAGTGCCCAGATTGGGGAACTCTGACCAAGGACTATATTCATATCCATATCTGTGTATCTCAAGGTGACTTCTTATGAGAATGGACATTGCCCTCAACAATATATGTGGTTACTTGTCTACATTTCCATTTGCTGAACTCTAATCAATTCCTAGAGGACAGGAGCAGCACTATGCCATCTCTGTACCTCCCAATAACCTAGCACAAACCCTTAGGCATAGATACACAAGGAATGTTTTCTGAAATGAAGTCAGAGAACCCAGCAGACACTCTGTCCTGAGCCCTACCTCACTGGCTCTTCCATGATATGTAAAATAGTTAATTTTGTGTTGCACCTTGAAGGCCCCTGTAAAAGTGGGGACTGATGCCCTGGAGGCAACACACTGGAATCACCCTCCATTTCAGCGCCTGTGCCATAAGGCCACTGTGAGGCCCTCATGAGTTTATTGGACCACGTTCTCAGAAAGCTTGCTGCTCTTAATTAGCGTTAGCTACTGTTACTACTACTACTGCTGCTATTACTAATATTACTACTACCACTACTATTATCACTATTACTACTGTCACTGCTACCACTACTGCTACTGCCACTACTACTATTATTACTACTACCACCACTACTACTACAACCATTACTACTCCTACTATTATTATGACTACCATCACCATTACTACTACGCCACTACTACTTTAATACTACTACCACCACCACTACTACCACTATTACTACTACCACCACCTCTACTACCACTATTACTACTACCACCACCTCTACTACCACTATTACTACTACCACCACCTCTACTACCACTATTACTACTACCACCACCACTACTACCACTATTACTACTACCACCACCTCTACTACCACTATTACTACTACCACCACCTCTACTACCACTATTACTACTACCACCACCTCTACTACCACTATTACTACTACCACCACCTCTACTACCACTATTACTACTACTACAACCACTACTACTACTATTATTACTACTATTACCACTACTACTACTATTACTACCACCACCACTACTACCACTATTACTACCACCACCACTACTACCACTATTACTACCACTACAGCCACTACTACTACTACTCTTATTACTACCACCACCACTACTACCACTATTACTACCACCACCACTACTACCACTATTACTACCACTACAGCCACTCCTACTTCTATTACTACTATCAGCACTACTACTACTATTACTACCACCACCACTACTACCACCAGTACTATCACTATAGCCACTACTACTTCTATTACTACTATCAGCACTACTACTACTATTACTAACACCACCACTACTACTACTATTAGCAGTACTGCTACTACCACCACCACTGTCACTACTACTACTGCCACTACTACCACTACTATTACAACCACTACCACCACTACTACTATTATTACTACTACTAACACTACTACCACCACTACTACTACTATTACTACTAACACTAACATCACCACTACTACCACTATCACTACTACCATTACCACTACTGCTACTATTACTACTGCCACTATTACTAATATTACTACTTCCACTACTAGTACTATCATTACTACTGCCACTACTACCATTACTGCTATCACTACCACTACTACTATTGCTACCAGTACTACTACTACTACTACTGCCTCCTCCTCTTCCTACTACTACTACTATTACTATTTAATCATAATTCATATAATGGGGAAAAGGATGTCTAACTCATTGGTTTATGCCAAAAAGGAAATCTCATTTTTTTCTTTATTTTTTTCCCAATATTTTCCCAACCATTCTCCACCCCTGTCCTTGGTAACCACTTTTCTACTCTCTACTATAAGTCCCACTTTTAAATATATTCCACATACAAGTGAGATCAAGCAGTATTTGTCTATCTGTTCTAGGCTTATTTCACCTCCATAATGTCTTCCAGGTTCATCCGTGTTGCTGCAAATGGCAGTTTTTCCCATCTTCTGAAGGCTGCATAATGTTCTATTGTGGCATATGCCACATTTATTGATAAATCCATTCATTTGTTGATAGACACTTGGGTTGATTCCATATCTTGATATCGTGACTAGTGCTGCATTGAACACGGGAGTGCAGGTCTCTCTTTGACATACTGATTGCCCTTGGATATATATCCGCAGTAGTGGGATTGCTGGATCATGAAATCTGATTTCTAATGCAATAGTTCGAAAATGGGGTGTGATTTTGCCTGTCTCCTTAGGAAAATGTAGTAATGTCTGGAGTTTTCTGGTTTCCTTTTTGATTGTCAACAATGGTGGTTGCTACTGGCACCTATTGGGTAGAGGCCAGAGATGCTGACCAGCACCCTACAACACACAGGACAGCCCCCAACAGAGAATGATCCAGCCCTGGATGGCCCTGGTGTTGAGGCTGAGAATCATGGAAGTAGGCCAATGCGTGGCCTACCGCTGGGGAGAAACGGGCAGCTCTGCCCTCGTCTGCTAACACCGGCCTGTCACTCATAACCATCTCACACCTGGAACACAATTCTGCCTCCTGCCTAGAGCTCACTTTCAGGAAACAAGGCAACGAAAATCAATTTGATGCCATCAGGCTGCTTTCATGGAAAGGCTCTTGCCACCTGGGACTTCTTACGTTGTCTCTGTTTTCCTCCTCCAGAGACCAGCTGGGCCCCGGGGGCTGGCCAAGTTGGTGCCGGGAGCCTGCCTGGCCCAAGCCCCTGGAGCCAGCTGGGGCACATGACCGCCTGCATGTCAGCTGTCTAGGAAATCCTGTGATTCGGTCACACGGGGGCTAGGAGCAGAGCACCCAGGCCCTGCCCTCACCCCTCACTCCTCACAGGGTGCTGAGGGCTGCCTTGAAGGAGAAATGAAATAAAATAAATGAGTAAAAATAAATAAATCCCGCATCTGTCATCATGGGGCATCAGATGTGCCTCCTTAGAGACACTTCCCAGGGTAGGACCCATTGCTATGGTGAACACTCCTGGGGAGCAGGGGAGCATGCTGAGGAGTTTCAGGGGAGGGTGGCATCGCCCATCAGCCTCTAAAAACCTCTCTCCTGAGCTTCAAAGGAGATCTCGTCCTTGGAGGAACAGCAGAAGGAGGATGTCCTTCCCCTTTATAGATTAGGATATTAGCAACAAGAGCTAACATTCACCACATGCCGGGTCCAGCTCCAGAAGGTGTTGTATGTGGGAACTGATTTCACTCTCATTACTGACCCTAAATGATTGTAAGGTGTGGCCAACACTCCACAAACACTTGGGATGAGTTGGAATCTTGAGCTGGTTTCTCTTGACAGTTACCTAGTTTGAAGCCAATGAAGACATTTGGGGAAAATGTGCTAAGATGAGGTTCATTGAGACGCGTTTTAGAACCCAGCTGACAATTAATATTCTCAGTGTAAATCTGGGCTCCAGACTTTTATGCATGTCACTTTAAACACAGTCTGATCTAAACACTGGCTTATTGTGACCATTTGGGTGATACCAGATGAAATTAATGAAAAGTCAAAAATACTGAATTTTTAGATGAATAGGTTCTTTCTTTCAAAAGTTGTTAAAGAAGCTGATTTTGCACTGCTTTTGCTGACTTTGATGAAGTGAGAGCACCGTAATTAGCCCAGGAAAATAAACACTCATATTATTTCATGTAAATATACTTTTTAAATCTTTGAAGATTTTATAGAGAAGACAAATAATTTCTCCTATTTATTTACTTTGAGATGTCACTTTCCTAATTTGTGGAATCTAAATTTGTGAGAGTTAGAAAGAAAGCCAGCTACCTAAGTTAGGCCTCCAAACCCCCAAGTGTCCCTTTCCAGGGCCCTGCCCATCTCTTTCTCATTCCTTGGTCGAGAACACGAACTTCAGGACTTGCCTCACACTAGGGCCCATTCTTTGTTTCCCAGAAAGAAGAGGCTCTCCACACAGAGTCCCATGTACACCAGGCTGTCAACAAACATGAATTGAATGAAGGAGTGGATGGTTGGGTGGAAGTGATTTAAGAAATCCTAACTGGGGAATTTCACTGGAAACTTAGGAAATTCAATTTATATAAAGTCTATGAATCGTCCATTTTTGTGTCCGCACATTCAAATGCTGTAGCTAATTTCCTGCTAAACAGTAGAAATTCAGTAAGTGTTCATGTTGAAAGGATGAAATTTGAGTGCTCTTGCATCCTCAGAGAACTCTAGTAAAATAGAAATAAAGCTTTATTTGGAAGATTAAGTCATGAGCATAATTATGAGAAGGCGGTCATTCTAATAATAGTGTCTTCACAAGTAGATGCTACATGCTGTGTAATATTTTGACTAAAAAAAGTTCCTCTCAACATTTCTGAAGTGAGATAATGTACAACGATCCATGTTTTTAGCTACCTTGATAAGTTTAGTGCATCCAGGGCTCCTTTCTTACCTGCTAACCGCCGAGTTTCAAATGCTAAGAAATTCTTCATTTCCTAACACAAATATTCAATATAATTGCTGGTTGTTTGGGAGAAGAAAAATTTAGAATTCAGAAAGAAATACAGAATGAAATGTTCTAATCAATCGAAAAAGGATTCTATAGACTTCGACGTTGTCTGGTTTACAAAGCAGTCTGCTAATCTATCTCATGTGAAATGAATCCTAAATTGTAGCATTAAAATAGTGATACTTAGGTCTAAAATTAGAAATGCAATTACAGTCAGGAGGCTTAAAAGAATCATAGAACCCATGCAGGATGACAGCACAATCGGATATGGGGAATGAAGTGTGCCGAATCCATCCATTTTAGTGGGAAAGCAGCAGCAAAGAAGCTCAGGGAAAGTGCTTAGAGGATAAATTAAGCTTCTAGCAACTCCAGCCGGATTGCATCAGTTAGCACTCAACTAGCCTGATAGGCACAGGACCGAGGCCACTGAGAAGCATGCTGCAGTAATGAGAGAAGGACATTTTGCGCACCTGCAAAAGATGAAGTCTGTGAACTTGAGTTCATCACCATAAGAAAAGACGGTGTGGGGGATGAGAGAAGAAGAAAAGCATCCTGGACTCCTGGAAAATCTGGAGTCCAGGGTCTGGTGTCCTGCATAAAACCACTGCGCAAGCTTGTGTCTCAGTGCTCGCAGCTGTAAATCAGGACATGGAGGTACATCATCACTTAGGATATGACTGTCTTCTTATAAACCAGTCTGAGTCTGTGGCACCACATTAAAAATAACATATTGCAGAAACCAGGGCAGCCACTAGCCCCTGTGACATTGTGTGAATATAGCGATGGATGATTTATTTTTCTATACCTGCCCCTGTGCATTGCTGGAAGACAGGGTCACTATCTTCTTGATATTAATAGTGACAAAATTGACAACACATTGAATTTTTCTGAACAATAATCTACTATCTACTGCACATGCAAAATCTGAGAAACTCCTCATGAATTATGTCATTTAACCTTTACCAAAACTCCAAGAGTTAAAATGTTTGTCAGTTATATAATTTACAAAATGTAGCTTAGAAAGGTAAATAACTTCCCCTAAGTCATATAACTAAAACGAGATAGATTTATATTTAAATGCTTTTCTCATCTGTTTCCAAACCCCACACTCTTTTCATGTCTCTACTGTTTAATAAATGATCATGTAATAGAAAATATGGGAGTGTATAAAAAGGGAACTATAGAAGAGAATATTTGAAGAAAGAACACTGAAGAGAATTATCTTCCACAGGGGAATGTATTTTTTTTAAATATTATCTAAGTCCTAATTTTTTAGCCAAAATGTGAAACAAACAAACAAAATCATCTCCTAAGTGCAATGAACAGGCAATGTTCTCTCCTGGACTTTTGCAAACAGAGCACATATTTTAAAGAAGTGGAAAGAACATTGGCCAAGATCCAGCCTTCTGTCTCTCTTCCCTCCCTCGCTCCCTCTTTCCTCTATTACTTCCCTCATTCATAAATTAACTCATTCATTCTTCAATGTATACATTTTTTCAGGTCTTGTCAGCTTATCTGGAGAATAAACTGTATGAAGGGAAGCAGTAAACAATGAGTTTGGACAGGCAGATCTGAGTTCAAAAATCATGCATTCAGGTAGGTGAACAAACACAAGGCAATAAGCTAAATTAATTACAACAGTAGATTCCTATGTTCATGGCAGGTTTAGGGAAGACTTCTGGAAGGCAGGAATGAGCTGAGATATGACACACAGTTAAGAATTGCCAAACTGAGGACACACTATCCACCAGCAATACTCAAAGGAGAAATTGGTGATTTCCACTTTATTCCATTAAAATAAACTCTTCTCAAAGGAAGGAACTTGGTCATATTCATTTTATTCCATGAGCACAATGAGATTGGGGACCTTACCTGACTATTCGACACTGACCTCCACTCATCTAGCCCAGCTTCTGATAAGGAGTAGTCTCTTAATACTTAAATATTGAGTAAAGGAATATTTTTCCTTGTCTGTTTTCAGAAACTCTGATCTCAAAAGATCACATGCTCAGGATCTTTGTTACTGAGGTCAGGACAAGGAAGGGGAAAATGGAAATAAATTGAGATGTCATGGATACAAAAATCAGACTGCATCTTCTCATCGATTATGTCCGATACTATTAGTATTCTGAGGCTGAGGTTAACGATCAGGGAGGGTTAAATCATCAAATTCACCTTTTCAGTAAGAAACCAAGCTGGGGCTTGAGACTTGAGCTCTGTGATTCTAAAACCCTTGCCCTGGACCGTGTATAAAATGCAAGTCTGCAAATGTTTCCTAAGGCTAAACGTTGGAATACATAACTAGGCATGGCACCAACTTGGAAATTAACTTGAAGACCAATGGAAGCACTTGCTTTTATGAAAGTGCACAAGTAGGTTAACAGTAGGAGAATTCACCAGGTCAATTCCTTACCCGAGTTCCATGCTTTGTCTTCTCACTAACTCCTGTTGACCCGGACCCAGAAAGTCAAGATTTTATGTTTTTTCTAGGACCAAGCTCCAGCCTCATCAATCATTTAGTGTGCTCCTAATGTTCTCTCAGGGTTTGACTCACATGTCGGCTGTAGTCTTGTCGAGGACAGAGCAGATTCAGACGCCTGGTGCTTCTTCTCTAGCTCTAAGGAAGAAGACACCATTGTGGCTAAATAATCTGAACTTTACAGTGTCTTGCAGGATAAGAAAGATGGCAGAAACCACAGTGATACTAGACCAGGTGAGCTAAACTTCAAGTCCGGTGAGACAGGGCAGGCTAGGATAATGATCAGTGATGGGGACTAGAGGCAGTTCTTAATTTGAATCCCTATTTTGTCACTTACTACTAGTTAGACATGATGCAAGTTATTTATCTTCCCTCAGTGTCATGTCTTTTTTTTGTAATTGATGAAATGGTGATAATAATGGTGATACAGATCTTATATCATGGAACTGTGTCAGCATTAAATGAGATAATCCATAGATGGCTCTATAGTACTGAAGGAAGGTTTGTTATTGTCTTTGACTAAGTAAACCAGCATGCATTGTAATAAATGTTTCTTGCATGCTATATTAATTTTTAGTAAATAATAACATCCTGATATAATAATAATTAAGCTTTTACAAACAGGTATAACAACAACAGTAATAGCTTCCCTTTCCTTCCCCGATGCCCAGTAGGGATTATGTCTCTAAATATTGACCAGGCTCTAACAGATACTGTGAACATGGTCAGTCCTGTTGACCTCATCGACATTCCTTGAACTCATCTTTCATAGCACAAGAAGAAGGCAAGGAAGTGCTGAATCCAGAGGAAGACCATGTTGACCGTGCATAGGTCAGCTCAGCACCATCTGCAGGAGGCCTCATTGTTTTCTGTTTGGATCTTATTTCTTTTTTTCTTTTCATTCTTTGTGATACCTTTTATTTGTTTTATTATTATTATTATTATTTGTGGGGTTTTTTTGTTTTGTTTTGTTTTGTTTTTGAGATAGAGTCTCGCTCTGTCCCCAGCGACCTCGGCTCACTGCAACCTCCACCTCCCAGGTTCAAGCAATTCTCCTGCCTCAGCCTCCTGAGTAGCTGGGATTACAGGCATCTGCCACCACACCCAGCTAATTTTTGTATTTTTAGTAAAGACGAGGTTTCACCATGTTGGCCAGGATGGTCTCGATCTCTTGATCTTGTGATCCACCCACCTCGGCCTCTCAAAGTGCTGGGATTACAGGCATGAGCCACCATGCCTGGCCTATTTGTTTTGCATATTACTGCACTGACCAGAATGTCTGGAACACACTGAATAGCTGTAATAGCCAACATCCTTTCTTGCATTCCAGGATTAAGCAGGATGCTATTTAAGATAAATTTGGAAAAAATGTATTTTCCTTTTTCTAACTTCCTATGCATATTTTATTTTATTATTTATTTTTGTAGTAATTTCCACTCTTATTTCAGATTCAGGGGGTCCATGTGCAGTTTTGTTACCTGGGTATACTGCATGAAAATGAAATTTGGGCTGTGACTGATCTCGTCACCCAGATACTGAGCAATCATTTTCAACCCTTGCTCAGAGTTGTCCCTGAGCCCCGTGTTCACCTTTATGTGTCCTGTGTCTACTCTGTCCACCTTTATGTCCACGAGTACCCAAAATTTAGCCCCCACTTATTAGTAAGAAAATGTGATATTTGGTTTTCTGTTCCTGCATTACTTTGCTTAGCATAATGCTTCCAGCTCCATCCATCTTGCTGCAAAGAACATGATGTCATCCCTTTTTATGGCTCTGTGGATTATATTTTTAATTCTTTTCTTGAGTCACTTTGACTTTGAATGCATATTAGAAACTTATATTATCCCTTTTCTTTCTTTCTGGATGTATCTGTCTCAATACTTTGTGATTTTTCAGAGATGCCTACCACCAAATTAATGTTTCATGAAATAGTATGTGTGCGCTTTAAGAGCTTGCTTGGATGAGACTATGAACTTGGATATGAAAATGAGGGTTATATATTTATGACCTTCTAGAGGAAAGAACTCCTAATTCCATCACCAACACAGTACCTGGTACACAGCAAGTACTCAAATAAATGTTTGTTGGACTGACAAGGTAAGCATCAGATGGATGTTTTGAGTTGCACATGGTAAAGCAGAGCTGAGAATTAGCACGGAGACCTAAGGGAGATGATCCACCTCCTTCATCCTCACTGTGCTTGTTGGTGTGTACTGTATTATATGAAGTTAATTTGTTATTTAGATTGTTGTTTCTGGAAAAAAATTATGGGGAAGGAAGACTTTACTCCCTGTTTAACAGACAAAAAATAGGCCATTGAGAAAACAGACCAATTTTCCAAGGTCAAATGTAGACATTTTTATGGGGGCTCTACTTTTTACTCTGTGGGATTTTAAAAAATCTTGATTTTTTATATCAAAGTGAATAGCATTTCAAGCCCTTTTTTTGGCTCAGATATGACATTCTCATATTATAAAAGAAAAAAATTCTTAAAAGAGCAAATAAAATTTAGCCCATGAAGTGGAATTACCAACTGTTTCCAAACCTGAATCCTTGGTTGACTCTTAGATGGTAAGAAGTCACCTTGTGAGCCCCTATATATAGAAATATTCAAAGACAATGGTTACCAGTAAGCTTGCACCAGAGAGTCATTTGGGGCTTTAATGGATTATTGTAACTATAATTTTTTTTTGCCCTAATGTAGTCATAGAATTATTATTTGTAGATTGTTGGAATTGAAAGGACTTTTAGAATTGTGTAGTCCAGTCTTCTCATTTTTTTGATAAATCAGTCAAAACCCAGGAAAACTAATTATGTTACCAGTGATCTCACAGCTACTTAGTGAAAGAGCGGGAAGGAGATACCAAGCCTCTGGCTGAGCAATCTTTAACACAGCATAACGTACATCTTCAGAAAAATACACCCTAGTGTTACAGGTGACCTCTCCATGACTTTTGAAGATGTTCTTATAAAAAGCAAGCCATTTGATAACACCAAATATGTCCTTCTGTTGATTTCCTGGCTTTTCTCCCTTAACTTCACCCTATTATTGAGGGAATATCTAAAGTTGGAAACAATTTTCTGTAACTAGTGATTTATAAAAATAGAACAGAATGATATCCTCAATCTCTCTCTCAACAGAAAATATTTCCTGAAGTTGGAAAATGATTTTTAAAAATTATTGAAGCCCCTTAATTATAGTTTTCATTAAAAAATCACTGTAAGTTTGAAAGAGGATAAAGAACACTCATGCACACAGGTACAACACACACACACACACACAGACACACAGACACACACACACATATATCCTTACTAAGAAACTAGAATGTGCCCAAACATTTGGCTGAAATTATTGAATTTGTGAGAATAAAAGTTATGTTATAATCATATAATAGAAAAGATATATAATAAAAAAGATTTAAATTTTTCATTATCATCACATTAATATGTTTAGCATACAGATAGGATAAAACAGTGCAATATAATACATTAAATAATTTCAAACATTCAAAAAGAACAAGAATTAAATTACATATTGGCATAAAATAAGAGACTAAAATTTGTATTTATATAGCATATTTAAGATTATAATACTTCTTTCATAAACATTAACTTATTGGATACCTTTAAGAGTTTGGGGGTTTACGTAAAAAATATGTCAATATTACCTTTCCAGATGATTTGCAGCTCAGAGAGATAGGCTTGGCCCAAATCATACAGCAAGTAAGTGGTGAGGCTTCAGATCATCTAGAATTTAATCCAGCATTCTTACCCCAGATCTGAGTGGTTCCTGGAGGAAGAGAAAGTATCAATGAGGAAGACTTAGGTTGCAGGAATGATGACACGTAAAAATGTTGGAAAAAAAAAGGAATACATGATTTTGAAAGCTGAAGGTTAATGACATCTAATAATTAGTGATATGGAACTGATCTGAATTTGTTCACAAACTTTGACTTGATAAAGAGAAATCAAAATCCAAAATCAGCTCATGCTGACTATATATCAGGAGGTCCATTTGATGTTGAAAAACGAAAAATGATTAAAACGTAGACTTTACTTTTCTGGGGCTCACAAATGAGAAATTAAGTTATAGCCAAAAAAAAAAAAAGTAACCTGAAACATGAGTTCTAATAAGAAATATTTTAAATATGATACATCTTTAGTTAAAAAGGAATATGAGGTCAATATTAAATATTAAAAGAACAATGTAAAAATATTTGTATGTCAAAAAATGTTAATTATCTTTCAAATCTGATTTTTAAAGAAAACAAGGAAGTTATTCTAAAACAGTTAATTTTATATAAATCTAAATTAAATGATCATTTGAATGTTGGACTTTTGAATTATACAGATAATTTACAATTAAGGGTCAGTTCAAGTAGTTTGTGATTTAAGAAAAAAAATCCTCAGTTTATGCAATATCAGATTTTCCTCATACAGATATCAGATAACTACGGCTAACGCACATAAGCACACACATGCATGTATACATACACTGATGTATACATATATCTATCAGAAAGATATAAGAAAATTATCCGGCTTCACATCAAGTAAGTTGCTTTACAGTTTTATTAAATATTGGAGGCAATTAAGAAGGTTTTTAAAAATTGTTCATAAAATGGTTCATGTTTATTGTAGAAATATAAATATTATAATCTAGAATAATTTAAAAATAAACTTATTTTTTCTGCATATATATAGCCATTTAAAAATGAAAACTGGAATCATAAAGCTTTTTAAAATTCAAGTTAATATTTTTATATTTTCGTGAATTAGAAATTCTTTTGAGAACATAATTTTAATAATTTATAAAGCAAAAGTGTATACCCAATCGTGTTAGTAACAATATTTTCCTAATCTTAGCAGAGAGGTGAACACTAATGGAGTGGTGTGAGAGAGGGTCTTGGCAAACGTGGATAGAGTGAAGCGTGTGTGAGAAGTGGGGTGCAGGCCTGTCGGTGTGGGAGCAGAATGTAGACACACAGGAGAGCTCAAGCGGAGGACAGATGAGGGTGAAGTGGCTCCACTGTGCAGGCTGCTGGACCCTGAACATGGCTGGGAACCCTATAGATTGTGAAGCAGAAACTCTGAATCCCAGCCGACAGGTTGTTAATCAGCTAGGTTAAAAAAAATACATTTTGTATGTTTCACTTCCTTAACGACAATCTTTAACGATCTTTAATCTAAATCTCTGACTTTTGTCTTCACCTCTGTTTTTGTTGTTGTTTTTGTTTTTGTTGTTGTTGTTTTTGAGACCGAATCTTGCTCTGTCACCCAGGCTGGAGTTCAGTGGCATGATCTCAGCTCACTGCAGCATTTGCCTCCCAGGTTCAAGCGATCCTCCTGCCTCAGGCTCCTGAGTAGCTGGGATTACAGGTGCCCGCCACCATGGCCAGCTAAGTCTTTTTTTTTTTTTTTTTTTTTGTATTTTTAGTAGGGACGGGCTTTCACCGTATTGGCCAGGCTGGTCTCGAACTCCTGACCTCAGTGAACCCACCCACCTCGGCCTCCCAAAGTGCTGGGACTACAGGCGTGAGCTACCACGCCCGGCCTTGTCTTCACTTATTTTACATAAATTCTTACTGCATGTCCCTGAGAAGTTACCTAACATCTCTGAATCTGTTCCCTCATCCATATAATGGATTTCATGATTATGAATGCAAGTATTTTAATATATGTATAATACCTATACAACTATATGCTATAGCTAGTTTAGTATATAACATTCAATTTAAAATAAATTGCCTTAAACTACAGTAAGTATAGCATTTTGACTACTGTGTTTTACAAATGTTCTGATAATTATTGATCTCAATAACTGATACCAATAATTATTTTAGTTTGTTAGGTAAAGATATAATTTGACGGCTTCACTATGCCTTTCTTTAACCTGTCTTAAAACCAGAAAGCCATACTTCATTATTCACAGGGCCTGTTGCCAGAAGAATAAAAGTATGTCTGATAATTATTGCTTTTACAGAGTCCGTGCCCGAGTGGTTAGCACTCAATGAGTGAATGTCCTCAAGATTCAGTATTTTGCAAAAAGCCTGGCATGATAGATGAATGGCTTTTATGCAGAGATGAGATGATGCATAAGGAACAGAAATCTATTATAGATTTTCTATTAAAATTAGCAAGTAAAATAAGTAATGGTTATTCCAAGCTCTTAGGTAAGAGAGGAGCAAATGTATTGCTAGTGACTTTTTGGAGGACTCCCCCTCCTGCGGTTCATGCTCATTCTAAATTGCCTGAGAGTAAGCTGGAGACGGCACTGCACTATAATCCCACAGGTAATGTGCTGATAATTAAATCCCTCTGACAATTACATCATGCATTAGCAGGCTCACCCCGATCCATTACTCATGATCACTGTCTTGGACAAAACAAAATGGGCACACCGGGGACCATTCGTAGAGCAGATGCTCCTATGGAAGAAGGTAGCCAAATTCTGTTTACGTAATGTGATCCAGGCAAGACTAAAGCAAGGGCTCCCTTCACCCTCCCCAGTGAGCACCAAGTTCATAGAGATAATGACATCCAATCTCTGCCACCTGCCTGGCCTGGTCTCATTGCCAGTCTAAAAAAGTACATCATAAAGGTCAAACAACATGGATGGCACCAGCATATTCCAGAGGGACTTTTGGCAACTTTGAGAGAAGCAGCAATGCTCTCATACTGAGCCTCACAGAACAAGGTTCTCCATTTAGAAAGAGCCAAACTATTTTTTAATTGCTAAGTTGAAATGTTACTCTCTATTTGATCACATAAAGATCATTCTGAAGTGACAAAAACCAAATTGTTACATAATTACAATATTAAATTATAAGTATTTCCAAAATAGACTGTTTGTATGTGTGTATAAACACACACACACACACAGTGAAGTTTCACATGTCCGTGTATTTAACACAAGAAGTTAAGATATTTCCTCAAAATTTTTGCAGACAGCATGCATAACAACAATTTAATATTTCCCAGATATATCCAAAACTGCTAATATTGTAATTAATAAGAATTCAAATAACCAACATTGTCAATTATACAAAACTTTTTTTTCTTGCAATAGACTTTCAACATAAAAAAGAAAATAACAAGAGATGATCAGATATTCATATGAAAAATTAGCAAAAGGCAAGCTTATTTTTAAAAGTCAAATTTATCCTGGGGTCATTAAGCTTTTGTTTGGATCTACATATTCAGTATATCCATTGTTATTTTTGGATAAACATCAGAGTAATGACTTTGAAATTTTTCTAAGGAGTGCTGACACCCTACCAGTGTGTATTTACAGGATCGAACAAGGTATTCTGTACTTATAATATCAAACCATGGTCTATTCTGATTGGCTGTATATCTACTTCACTGATACTCCAATATTTTGACTATTATTTCTGCTTCCAAGCTACAATAAACATGCAATAATTTACTCATGTTTATTATAATCTATTAGCTCAGCAAGGGATGTAAACTCAGATTTTAAAAATTATTTCTAAGACAAACATAAAATACCAAGAGCTTAAACCAATGAGAGAAGTCGCCAAACTGTGGGAGAGGAGGCGGGGAATTGCTGGAACAGCTTCTTCCCATGGGCCTTGTACATGTGTGCATGAGCTGCCATCTGTTTGTGTCCGCAGACCTGCTCCCTGGGAAACTTTTGCTCTGGTTTGACTCCTGGAGACTGAGCAGGTCCCCCTTCTGAGTGAAGCCAGGAGAATATATTAATTATGCACTTGGCTATAGGGTCAGACTAGCCTGATTTCAAAACCTGGCCCTACGATTTTCCAACTGTGTGACCTAGGCTCATGCTTTACCCTGTCTGCACCACGCCTGCTTCTTTTTGCATTGCTCAGGACTGTAAGTCTCTGCTGCTGTAATAAACAAACCTCATAATCCTGGTGACTTAACACAATAAATGTTCATTTCTTACTCTCCTGAAGTCCAAAGTGGGTCAGAATACCCCAAGAGCACCTGCCTTCTGCATGGTAACATTGAGATCCAGACTGCCTCCATCAAAAGATGCCACTGCACAGCTGGTCACGGTGGATCATGTCTGTAATCCCAGAACTTTGGGAGGCTGAGGTGGGTGGATCACCTGAGGTCAGGAGTTTGAGACCAGCCTGGCCAGCATGGTGAAACCTCGTCTGTACTAAAAATACAAAAAAATTAGCCAGGTGTGGTGGCAGGCACCTGTAATCCCAGCTACTTGGGAGGCTGAGGCAGGAGAATCGCTTGAACTCGGGAGGCAGAGGTTGCAGTGAGCTGAGATTGCACCAGTGCACTCCAGAGTGGGCAACAAGAGCGAGACTCCATCTGAAAAAAAAAAAAAAAAAAAAAGATACCACTGCACATCACGTGAGAATTTTCCACTTGTTCTTAGTTGCCTGTGATTGGAAATGACACACAGCTTCTCTCCTCAATTGGCTGTAACTATTCTGATCGCTGCAAAGAAACTCTAAGAGAAGCTGGTTGGTCAGTCCACATGTGCAGGAAATACAGAAGACTGAAGTATCAAGAGTGTTAGCAATCTCCACACAATACTTCATAGAGGAAAAGTTAAAAAAAAGTAATATTTTCCAAAGCTGTTGGTATACTACTTGACAGTAGGTATGCAAGAAATGATCATTTTTGTTATCCCGTAGTGTTTTATTTTCATTATTGTTTTATGATTCAGACACATAGGAGACTTATTTATCGATCCCATCCCTCCATTGTCTGTGATGACTTTATTGCCTTTGCAGGATCCTCTTTGGACTGCTAGGGCTGTGAGAAGATCAGGCTGTCTTCCCCAGATGCCTTCTCAGGAGACGGCTGTACATTTAACAGGCTACCTTTCCTGCTGGCCGACCAGACCAAGCCAAATGGTAAAATAGGTGATGTTTCCTACCTCCCTTCTAGTTCAGACTTCTGACATTGATAGGTATTCTGGTGATCCAAACGTCCCAGGATTTGCCACCTGTGATAGCTCCTGGCTTGCCTGTTTCATCCCATCTCCTCCACAGAAATCCAACCCGAACTCCAAATGTGGCTTCCCACAGGGCTGGGAAGCAGATCGCTAACAAAAATTTGGAGAAGCCTAAGGCAAAACAGATGAAATTTAATTTTAAACTAGGGAAGGAGAATCACTGCCAAATGCCATATGAGGAAGGTTGTATTGAGTTTCAGAAGGCAGTCTAGGTGATACATGATCAGATGCATTATGAGAGAAGAGTGGAAAGAAGGCAAGTAGGGAAGACCCGAATCTCGAAGTCTGCGTACTGTGTGATTTTCACCTATGCCCTAGCCCCTGCTGGCCTTAAGACTGATTTAACCTCTACTCTAATAGTTTCTAATTAGACTGCTAGCAGACTTTAACATAATTGCAACCAATGTCTAAACCTTCTCTTTTCTCATTGGTTAGCACTTTGATAGGCCTGTGTTACTGCAAGGCAACATGACAGGTTGTTAAGAGAATGGACAGGACTTTTAAAATTTCCAGAAAAGGAAGAAAAATGAAAGAATAAGAAAAGACTAAGAAAGAAAGCATGAAAGGAGGAAGGGGAGGGAAGAACTCCAATCTTGTAGGCAGCCATGTTCTTTCCAGACATTTGATCAATTTTATGTCTGGTCCCGCAAGCATGCCCAATTGCTTAGAGCAAATAATTATTCCTTCTTCACCATGGAGGCCAAAAGAAGGCCCTGAGAAGTGTGAGTCAATCATGTTCTCTCTAAATGCCTTCTTTTAAAAGCTATATATATTTAGGATTAATTTGCTTGTTGGCCAACTGTATTAGTAGGTTTTCACAGTCCTATAAAGAAATACCCGAGACTGGGTAATTTATAAAAGAGAGATGTTTAATTGACTCAGAGTTCTATATGGCTGGGGAGACCTCAGGAAACTTACAATCATGGCAGAAGGGAAAGTAGGCAGCTTCTTCACATGGTGGCAGGAGATAGTGAGAGCAAAGGGGGAAGAATCCCCCTTTGAATTACCCCTTGAAAGGGTTTCACTCTGTCACTCAGGCTGGAGTTCAGTGGCCCTTTGAGGCTCACTACAGCCTCAAACTCTTGGGTTCAAGCAATCCTCAGCCTCCCAGTAGTCTTTGTAGACAGCCTGATGGAGTCTCATGGCACAAGAAGATTAATTATACAATGTCTTTTAATTTTAATAAATTTCTACAATCCAAAACAAAAAAAGAATCCTTTATAAAACCATCAGATGTTGTGAGAACTCACTCACTTAATCATGAGAAAAGTATGGGAAAAACTGCCCAGGTGATCCAATCACCTGTCTCCCTCCACACATGGGGATTACAATTCGAGGTGAGATTTGGGTGGGGACACAGAGCCAAACCAAGAGCCAAACTATATCACCAATTCTTACCATTTTCTCATTCAGTAAGACTCAGTATACGGTATCAATCTCTGGAATCCAAGGGTTAGAACCATCTGCTCGTGAAAACCATCTGGGAACAATGCAAAAGATGGGGTGCGTTTCAAAGGTGAAGTGAGGACCATGTTGTTTTAATGTGCTTTGCATCTGTGTGTATCAGAGCAACACTAGTGTTCACTAAGCAGTCTGCATGTGCTGGTCACCATGCTAAGCACTTTATTCGCATCATCTCAGTCACTCTACGACACAAATCTATGATGCAAGTGTGATTTCACCCTCATTATACAGCTAAATAAATAGAAGATGAGAATATTTTGTGAACTTTCAAAGTCACACAGATGCAGAACTAAAAGTTTCTACTGTATATGCTCTCAGATTGCTGCAGTTCAGACAGCAAACCCTTGGTTTGTGAGAAATTCTCAGTTCATTATAGAATACATGCAAGGTACAGCCTGCTGTTTCTTTCCTTAAATAAAAAGTGTGTGTGCCATAATAGAAAGCTGCTCACAGAACGGATGAAGGCACATTTGTATGTCTCATCAATCTCTCCCCCATTAATTCACTCAGAGCTTTGAGTGAAGCAATGAGTGGCTTCTCTTGGGCCCTCAGTGACTAATTCAGAGTCAGTGCCTGGCAACCAAGGTGTCTATAAATGCTTTTAGAAGGAGGAAAACAAACAAACAAACAAAAAATCTGGCTGAATAACTGATTGATTTATCACCACAATAACTAGTCTCAGTGATTCTTCTCAGGTAAACTGGTTTATTCGAGCATTCCCCTTGATTTCGATTGACCCATGGAAAAATAATTGAGATGCTTCTCTGGGTTGGGAGATGCAAAGGTGACAAAATACTGTAGTACTGAACCCCTCTCAGCTCAAGGAGTATCATAAGTGAAAAGGATAAAGCTCCTTCCAGGCCACCTGTCATCGTCTTGAATTAAGGCACCATCTTGCACATGGGACACCTCCCACCAGCTCTCCCCAAACTGGAACTTTTTCTTTTTTTTCAGCAATTTAGTCTGTAAGTTTGAGGTGATGCTAATCAACCTCCTGTGAGAACTTTGCAGCTCTCTCTCCTCTATTTGGGTTCCCAAATGGAGAGGACTAGGAGAGCCTGACCGCATTCCCTCTTCCCTTATTTAGTTCCAAAGCCTACTCTATAAGTACTAAGACAATGCATTCCAATTTTTTATGAAGCTTGAAAATGATTGCAACCTGAGGATGCCTGAATACTGGTTGAGGTGCCCTTTCACTACAAAAGGCAAAACACAAAACAACTCTTACACAGATTAGAGGAAGAAATAGAAGCCCAAAGACACCATGAACCAGGAGGGGTCCAAGAGAAGACACACGTTGCTTCATAAACCTGTGAACACTGAGACATTAAAAACCTCCTGTCTTCTAAGCAGGCCATAATCTACTAGCCCTACCGGGTAATTAACAATACTTGGGCTTGGGATGCTAACAGTCACCATCTTCGGAGAGGGGCTGGCTGGTTGGAGCACATTTTTGCCCATCTGCTGTCTAGCACTAGCTCTGAGTGAATTAATGGGGGAGATTGATGAGACATACAAATGACTGCCAGTATTTTTAATATGACAAGAAGGCATATGGGTAAGGACACAGAGGATATTCCTGTACTCATTTAGATAGGAAATAAAGCCAATATACAATCCACTCAAAAACTCTGAGTCTGCATACTATTAAGTAAGATCTCAAGTCACAGAAAAACTACTATAGTCATAAGTTTCAGTCATTTGGCATGTTTGGGAAAACGAGAATTCCACAGAAGTGATTTTTAGAAACTGCTGCGTGCCCTTTTCTTAGAAGTGGCTCTGCACCCACCCAGCTACAGGGACACCAGGCTCTCCTAATACTCAAACGCAGTTCTGGTGCACCCCATCCCATATTTTATTGGACCAATTCCTCAAGTCCCCCATCTTAATATCCCAGATTACATGTCAGTTCCTCATATTAAACATTTCTAAGATTGAAATCTAGACTGCTTTTGTTTATGTATTGGCCATTTAAAAATGTCCCCCACGTCAACTGAATTGCTTGTCTAGTAGTCTAATGCTTGATCCTTCTAGCCAAATGTAAACCCGGAGAGCACAGAGTCTACGACAGATCTTTTACTCTTGCTATGATCTGAATGTTGGTGTCCCCCCAAAATTCCTATGCTGGAACCTTATCCCCAGTGTGATGGTCTTAACATGTGGAGCCTTTAGGAGGACATAAGGGCTCTGTCCCCATGAGTGGAGGAGTGTCTTTTTGGAAGAGACTTGGGGAGCCTATCTATCCCTTCCCTGCCTGAGGAAACGCAGGCACCACCCATGAGGAACAGACCATCTCAAGACATCGATCCTGCTCATGCCTTGTCTTGGACTTGCAGCTTAATAACTGTGAGCAATACCTTTCTCTCTTCCCTTCCCTTCCCTTTCCCTTCTCTTCCCCTTCCCTTCCCCTTCCCCTTCCCTTTCCCTTCCCTTCCTTTTCCCTTCCCTTCCCTTTCCCTTCCCTTCCCCTTCTCCTTCCCCTTCCCTTCCTCTTCCCCTTCCCTTCCTCTTCCCCTTCCCTTCCCCTTCCCCTTCCCCTTCCCTTTCCCTTCCCCTTCCCCTTCCCCTTCCCTTTCACTTTCCCTTCCCTTCCATCCTTCCATTGAGACAGGGTCTGGCTCTGTCACCTGGCCTAGAGTGCAGTGGAGCTATCTTGGCCCACTTCAACCTCCACTGCTTGGGCTCAAGCGATCCTCCTACCTCGGCCTCCTGAGAAGCTGAAACTGCATGCACACACCACCACATGGGCTTTTTGTAGAGATAGGGTTTCACCATATTGCCCAGGCTGGTCTTGAACTCCTGGATTCAAGTGATTTGCCTGTCTCGGCCTCCCAAAGTCCTGGGATTATAGATGTGAGCCACCATGCCAAGCCAATTTCTGTTGTTTATAAGTTACCTAAAGGTATTATGTGATGGTGGCCCCAAAGGACTCAGACAATCCCACATTTGCAATGGGTGGCAAATTTCTCTGATGAATATTTGCTGAGTGTTACCTAAGTATGCCCTTGACCATTTTTCTTTGAGACTTAACTGATTCCCATGTGCCCCATCTTGCCCTCTGATTCCAATACATTTTCCAGATTAAAGCCAATGTTGTCCGGCTAAAACAAAACATATAATAACATTAAATTTTTGACAGTTTTCTAAGCTTGTAAAATTTTTGATGTTGGTTTTGATGTTATTATTTTTGTCTTTTCCTTTTCACAACTTTACTGATTCTACTAATGCCTCTGGTAATCAATTGAAATGTAACAAAACACCCTAAACTGAGTGGCCTACACCGAGAGCAGTTTGGGCAGGGCATAATCTAATACACTTAGGATTCACTTCCCCGTGTAGCTCCTAATTCTGTCAGTGTAAATTGGCCAAGTCTCACAACTCCTTTGTATATACTTCATTCTCTCCTGGGTCACACTTTTTTCCTGTTTCTCTGGGAAACACTTGGACTTGAATCTGGTTATAGGTTTAAAAATACAGTTCCCAGGTTGTGCATCAATGTGCCCCAGGGCACCACAATACAATTACAAGGGTGCCACAGGATATTTTAAGGAAAATACCAAGATAGTCAATATTTGTCAGACTCCATGGGAACGACTCGCTTGGTGTACATCCCAGTTTCAGTATGAGATCATGCTGCAGCCTCCAGTGGTGTCCTATGTTTCTAGATTGAGATTTTAGGTGTGCATGGGCCATTAGCAAATATTTGTGGTTGCTTAAGAATGGAGTACAATTATTTTTTCTTTTGGTTTATCTGTAGTATTCTTTCAAGTAATAACAAAATAAAAAATAAATAAATGAATAAATCAATAAATATTGAGGGGTAAACTTCATGAACAGAATTGTTGGCTATTTTATTTGGCCCGGGGCACTGCGGAAAATTACAGATGCTAAGGTAACCATCAGTTGAGGAAATCTGGAAATTTCTGGACTAGAAGCAATGAGATTTGGTGACAGGAGGCCTGAAGAATGATCCTAAGTCTCTCCTCAGGTGATTACTTCAGAGAATGCTATTCTTGGCATTGCTTTCTCAGGCAAGGGCTGGCTGATGTCCTCAGACAGGAGAAAAGGCTGTTTCTGTGGGCAGAAGAGGCTCAGCAGAATGCTTGAGGTCCTCATTTCATAGGGACCTTCCCACCTGCTCCCATCCTTAGCTGCATTGATCATTCATTTTTCATGGAAATCTAGCAACCCGCTAGATTAGACTTCAGGTTCGGCTTTTAGAAATCTCAGTCCTGTAGCTAGAGGAGATCAGATTGCTTTTAGGGCAATCATAGCTTGCTGGTACATTTTGGACCTAGAATTGAGATTTTTAAATCCATACAATTTGACCTGTTATTTTTTTTTTCCTCCAAGATCTCTAGGATGTTTGCAAACAGCCAATTAATTCCATTCTACTTATTTTCAGTAAAATTCACTATGATGGAGTTGGTTTCCAAAGGCATATGTTGACAGGTGCTCACAGGTGAAAATTTAAGCAAGAGCTTTGTCACTGCTTGGGAAGGGCCCTCAGTGCCCCCCTGCGCCCCTACAACATGGTCACTGATGCCCTTTAACCTCATCAGAGTATGCAAAGAATCCATTTCAGTTTCTTATCCTTAAAGTTATATTGCCCTAGAGCTACTCTTAGTATCACTGACTATATTAATGGAAGCAGAATAGAATTATAAAATATTCTGTTAATAAATTAGGTCATAAAAATTGTGGTAAAAACTGAAAAGTAAAGTTCTAATAAGGAAAATGTGAAAAACAAAACAAAACAAAAGTCACTCACCAGCTTAGGAGAAGGTGAATGATTTGGAGCTTGGGGGAGGCTGGCAGCTGGACGTGCCCAGATGCTGGAGCAGAGCCTGAAGGGGCAGACGTGGACATCTATGGGAATTTGGTGGGTGTCAGCCACTATGGCCTGCCTCTGGGTTTACGGCAAAGCTTCTGGTGATCAGCCGGGATTGCTACAGAGTCAATAGTCAAAAAGAACAGGGCATGAAGAGCAGAAAAGAAAAGTGAAAAGCCTTCTGTCTCACTGCCTGTCACTGCCTGTCATGAATGACCTTCAGAGCATGATGCAGGTACTTCACTTCCATCTCCCAACCTAGCACAACTTAGTAGCACAAAAGGACAACCATAACCCAGAAATACAGAAAGAAGAGGATTCCAGGGACTTCAGTTTCCAGCTAGCCAATTTGCCAGTAGAGCCATCACTTTGCACACACACCCATTTGTCATCTGTTATCTGCTAACTCCTCTGTGGGCGTCTTTCACCACTGCTCTCTCTCCCCCTGTTTAACTACTCAAAACTTTGAAAAAAGAACCCGATTTCTCAGTTTCCTCTGGACTTCTTTATCCACCACCCCCCAGTTGCCATGTATTGGTTTTGGAACTCATTGACCTCAATATCAGTAACTCTTCCCCATAAAAACCTTCCCAAGCTCTCAAATGAAGGTTAAGCACGCTCCTCCACCATCTGTAGCACTGTGTTATTTCTGTCACGGTATTTTCCTCACTATCTTATGGCTTTCTACTTCTTTGTTGACCCAGCTAAATATAAACTTCTTTAGACTAAGGATTCTAGTTAATATAGTGTAAATACCTAGTGTAAATCTTGGCCTATAATAAATCCTAAACTAATTTTTCTTGTTAGAATAGAAAGCAAAAGAGGAAGAAGGAACAAAGGACTGGAGGAAAAGAAGAGAGGAAGGAAAGAAGAAAAGGAGAAAATCAACTAGAAAGGGCTGACTTTTAGAGTCTACTATTTTCCATACATCTCTCCTGGTGCTTATCCTTTATCAGTCAATGAACCCTCAGGGCCCATCCAAGGAAAAAATATCTGAAGTTTGGTTTCTTTTAATAATTGTTATTTTGATAGATTTAGAGGGTACAAGTGCAGATGTGTGACATGTATATATTTTGTAGAGGTGAGGTCTGGGCTGTTAGTGTACACACCTCACAAATAGTAAACATTGTACCTATTAGGTAATTTTTTAAACTTCACCCCCTCCCCACCCTCCCACCTTTTGTAGTCTGCAAGGTCTGCTCTCTCCCTCCCTATGTCCATGTGTACCTGTTGTTCAGCTCCCACTTACGAGTGGGAATATGCAGTATTTGACTTTCTGAGTTATTTCACTTAGCATAATGGCCTCCAGATCCATCCAGGGTGCTGAAAAATACATGATTACATTCTTTTTAATGGCTGAGTAGCATTCTATATATATTACATATATATGTGTATGTAAACATATATATACACTATACTTGACATATATATATAAACAACTATATATACTATGCTTGACTTATATGATATATACATATATACTATATATACTACATATAGTATGTATGTAGTATATACATATACTGTATATACTAACTCCTCAGTGGGCCTCATATATATGTATGTATATGTATATATACTGTATAGATGTATATATGTATATACACAGCATAAGTATATATGTATATATAGTATATTACACAGTATATGTATATGCTACATACATACATATATAGTATAATGTATATATGTATACTATATATGTATAATACAGTATATATGTGCTGTGTATATTAAATATATGTAGTATATCATAAATGTTATATATATAGTAGTACTTATAGGTAGTGTGTATGTGTGTGTGTGTATGTGTGTGTGTAGTATACCATAATACTTTTATAGTGTGTGTATATATATATACACACACACACACACACACATATACACACTCTATATAGTATAGTATTATGGTATATATGCAACACTACGCACATCAATGAAATATATATATTTATATACATACACACACACACACACACATACACACATACACACCATATTTTCTTTATCCAATTCTCCATTGATGGACAGTTAGGTTAATTCCATATCTTGTTATTGTGAATAGTGCTATGATAAACATATGAGTGGAGGTATCTTTTTGATATAATGACTTATTTCCCATTGGGTATATACCTAGTAGTGGGATTGCTGAATAGAATGGTAGTTCTCTTTTCAGCTCTTTGAGAAATTTTCATAGAGTTTTTTCATAAAAATTATACTAATTTACATTTCCACCAACAGTGTATAAGCATTCCTTTTTCTCTGCATCCTCACCAATGTCTGCTGTTTTTTGACATTTTAATAACAGCCATTCTGACTGATGTAAGATGGTATCTCATTGTGATTTTAATTTGCATTTCTTTGATGATTAGTGATGTTGAACACTTTTTCATGTTTGTTGACCACTTGTTTGTCTTCTTTTACAAATATCTGTTTATGTCTTTTGGCACTTTTTAATGGGATTTTTTGTTTGTTGTTGTTGTTGTTGTTGAGTTGCTTGAGTTTCCTGTAGACTCTACATATTATCCCTCTTTCAGATGCATAGTTTTCAAATACTTTTTCCCATCTATAGGCTGTCCGTTTACTAGGTTGATTGCTTATTTTGCTCTGCAGAAGCTTTTTAATTTAATTATGTCCTATTCATCTATTTTTGTTTTTGTTGTTTTTGTTTATGAGGACTTGTTCGTAAATTACTTGCCCAGGCCAAAGTCCAGAAGAGTTTTTCCTAGCTTTTTTTCTAGGATTATTGTAGTTTCAGGTCTTACACTTAAATCTTTAATTCATCTTGAGTTAATTTTTATATTTGGTGAGAAACAGGAGTCCAATTTCATTCTTCTGCAAATGACTATCTCATTTTCCCAGTACCATTTATTGAGTAGGGTGTCTTTCTCCAGTATATATTTTTGTTGACTTTGTCTAAGATCAGTTGGTTATGGGCCTGTGGCTTTTTGTCTGGGCTCTTTATTCTATCTCATTAATCTATGTGTCTATTTTTATACCAGTATCATGATATTTCATGGTAAATCCCGCATCAAACTCGGATAGCAAATGATATTTCATTTGCTATAGCCTCGTAATATAACTTGAAATCAGGTAATGTGATGGCTCCAACTTTTTTCTTTTTGATTAGAATTTCTTTGACTATTCAGGTTTTTTTTTGGTTCCATATGAGTTTCAGAATTGTTTTTACTAATTATATGGACAATGATTTGGTAATTTGATAGGAATTATGTTGAATCTGTAGATTGGTTTGGGCAGTATGGTCAGTTTAATGGTATCGATTCTTCCAATTCGTGAGCCTGGGATGTTTTTCCATTGGTTTGTGATTTATTTCATCAGTGTTTAGTAGTTCTTCTTGTAGAAATCTTTCACTTCCTTAGTTAAATGTATACCTAGGTAATTTAGGTTTTTTTTTTTTTTTTTTGTAGCTACTGTAAATGTGATTGAATTCCTGATTTGGTTCTCAGTTTGATCATTATTGGTGTATAGAAATGCTATTGATTTTTGTACATTAATTTTTTATCCCAAAAGTTTACTGAAGTTATTTATCAAATCTAGAAGTCTTTGAGAGGAGTCTTTAAGGTTTTCTAAGTATCAGATCATATCATCAATGAACAGGGATAGTTCGACTTCCTGTTTTCCAATTTTTATGCCTTTTATTTATCTTGCCTGATTGTTCTGGCTTGGACTTCCAGTACTATGTTAAATAGGAGTGGTGATAGTGGGCATCCTTGTCTTGTTTCTGTTTTTAGAGAGGATCCTTTCAGCTTTAACCCATTCAGTATGATGTTGTTTGTGAGGTTTTTCTTATATAGCTTTTAATATTTTAGGTATGTTTCTTTGATACTGAGTTTGATAGGGAATTTACCATGAAAAGATGCTGAACTTTATCAAATGAGTTTTCTGCATGTATGGAGATTATCATATGATTTTTGTTAGTAATTCTGTTATGTGGTGAATCACTTGTTTGAGACATTACCTGGATGTGATTTCCTTTTAATTCCTAAAGACTGCAAGTCAGCTTGTAGACAAATGGCAGAACTGCAAAAACAAAAGAAAGCGGCTTTATCTCTTCTTAATTTTGTGACATCAAGCAAGTCAATATATCTGAGCCTCCATTTATGACATTCAATGATAACAATGGCTCCCATTTACTGAATGTTCCTGAATGCTTCATGTGCATTATTTGACTTAGTCTTTTCAACAGCCGTGTTAGGTAACTATTACTATCGCCATTTGCATAGTTTCAAAAATGTTACATTACTGTCTAAGGTCACACATCAAGCTAGAGGAAAATCCAAAATTTTATTCTAAAGATTAGGCCCTATGCTACATAATTTATTATTGAAAGGGAATGCTACATATCTGCCCTGCTTATGACACAGGACCAAACCAACTAATGTAAGTGAGAGCTGTTTGTAAACCACTAAATATAAGCTATAAAATGTGAAGTTTTTATTGGAATAGAATTTTGCCTTCTGAGGCAGTTGCTATACAAAATAAATTTTTGACAGTTCTCCAAGCTTGTAAAATTTTTGATGTTGGTTTTGATTTTATTATTTTTGTCTTTTCCTTTTCATTGTCAAGCAGTCAGCTATATTTGCTTTTTGTTCTCAGTCTTTCTATTTCTAGGTGCCCTTGTCACAACTTGTGGAACTTAATCTTTTGTGGGTGGAAAACTAGATAGTCAAATGAGGTGCCGAGTAGATTTAAATGTGGAAAATACAAATTATGAAATATAAGTTACATGGGATTTGGAATATGAGTTTTGAATATAAAATATAGTTTTACCCCATTTTAACAAAATCGGTGTCCAGTTTCTCAAGAGTTGAGGTCAAAAGGACCACTTGCTTTTGAATAAATAAGATTTAATTATATGGTAAAACCAATGACCTATTAGTGACAAAATATTCCATGCAAATGTTTAGCATTAAAAATACTTTTACCAACAGACAACATAAAAATGACTGTGACTAATGTAAACTAGTATCAATATCTTTATTTTATCCTAAAAAACAAAAACAGTATGAAAATTGCAGAAGGGGTGCATTTTTTTTTCCATTAGCAATTTATGAAAAACTAGAAATATGGATTATGAAGATATTTTTGAAAAAAGATAACTTCATTAAAACACTGCATAAACCAAAATGAAAATGAGAACCCACAATTTCATTTCTGTGACTCCAGTTTTATGCCTGCCTTTAATTTGGGGAATCCAATTGCACGTAGGGAGAATTATACTATAATTTACTAAATGTGGCCATAATTTTCCTTCATTTCTGAGAGTACAATTGGCTTGCTTAGTCCACAATTACTTTAGTGTCCAATTGCCTACACAATTAATTGCAAATGTAAAATGTTACTGGGTAGAGGCTCTGGGAAATGTGTTCCTGATGCCTGCCAATGCCAATAGTTGCCCGATGAGGACCAAAAAATTCACTTTGAAGGACAGAGCTGGCTCTGCATATTGACAGAAATGAATATTATTAAAATTGCTTTTGAACCTAGATTGCAAGCAAGACATTGGCAAAAACCAAAGTGTAATTAAGAGATTTAAATGTAGATTTCAAAGGAGCCTTGTTAGGGCTTTTTAGCCAGTGGAGGAAGGATTAGCAGAGAAATCAAGCAAAACAGATGTAAAAGATTTTTCTTTTTTTTTTTTTTTATTATACTTTAAGTTTTAGGGTACATGTGCACATTGTGCAGGTTAGTTACATATGTATACATGTGCCATGCTGGTGCGCTGCACCCACTAACTCGTCATCTAGCATTAGGTATATCTCCCAATGCTATCCCTCCCCCCTCCCCCCACCCCACCACAGTCCCCAGAGTGTGATATTCCCCTTCCTGTGTCCATGTGATCTCATTGTTCAATTCCCACCTATGAGTGAGAATATGCGGTGTTTGGTTTTTCGTTCTTGCGATAGTTTACTGAGAATGATGATTTCCAATTTCATCCATGTCCCTACAAAGGACATGAACTCATCATTTTTTATGGCTGCATAGTATTCCATGGTGTATATGTGCCACATTTTCTTAATCCAGTCTATCATTGTTGGACATTTGGGTTGGTTCCAAGTCTTTGCTATTGTGGATAGTGCCGCAATAAACATACGTGTGCATGTGTCTTTATAGCAGCATGATTTATAGTCATTTGGGTATATACCCAGTAATGGGATGGCTGGGTCAAATGGTATTTCTAGTTCTAGATCCCTGAGGAATCGCCACACTGACTTCCACAATGGTTGCACCAGTTTACAGTCCCACCAACAGTGTAAAAGTGTTCCTATTTCTCCACATCCTCTCCAGCACCTGTTGTTTCCTGACTTTTTAATGATCGCCATTCTAACTGGTGTGAGATGGTATCTCATAGTGGTTTTGATTTGCATTTCTCTGATGGCCAGTGATGATGAGCATTTTTTCATGTGTTTTTTGGCTGCATAAATGTCTTCTTTTGAGAAGTGTCTGCTCATGTCCTTCGCCCACTTTTTGATGGGGTTGTTTGTTTTTTTCTTGTAAATTTGTTTGAGTTCATTGTAGATTCTGGATATTAGCCCTTTGTCAGATGAATAGGTTGCGAAAATTTTCTCCCATTTTGTAGGTTGCCTGTTCAGTCTGATAGTAGTTTCTTTTGCTGTGCAGAAGCTCTTTAGTTTAATTAGATCCCATTTGTCAATTTTGTCTTTTGTTGCCATTGCTTTTGGTGTTTTAGACATGAAGTCCTTGCCCATGCCTATGTCCTGAACGTGTCTCCAGAGTGTTGGGAAGCAACCAATAGGAACATTTTGACATTTTGACATTTCAACCAGCAGCTGGAAGAGAAGCCTCTGCTAGTTTTCAGCACCTTCCATTGTACACCACAGGGTGTCAGAGAGACGTTCACAGCAAAGGTGAGAGGTGTTACATGCAACGGACCAGGGTAGACTTCACCATTTGAAAAAGTCCTGAGAATTGATAGCTTCTCACCCACGTATGGTTGTTCATTTGCAATACCTCCAGAGTTTCTACTGCGTATAGAAAGAAAAGAAAGGAAAGGCAGATTGCAAATACCTTTTATGTTCCTAGAGAGAGGGCTGCAATTTGAACTGCATTTTGGAACCAGTTTAAATAATACATTTCTATTCGTGGATGTGAAAATAGGTTCAGAATTCATAGAGGTTGCTGACCTATGATTTGGTGATATCATAATAATGTACAAATTACGTTTGATTAGATAAAGCAGCTTTAGCCTGTCTTCTACCTCAAGGCCTATGGAAGGAAAAAAAAAAGTAAAACTGTACAATCTGCCATCTCATTCTCTCTGTGAACATTTTTCTCTTCCCAGTGCAATAGAAACACACATATGGTGCCCAGAATTAACATCATGAAAGGGATCCCATTGCTCTGCAGAGAAGACAGTAGTGAGTCATATTCCGAATCCATTTGCACAATTTAGGAATTCAATAGTTAAGGTCAACATACATATGTGAATTTTCATCTCTCACTCCCTCTCTCTCTAACCATGATTTCACACTGCAATCTCAATCCAACACTACACATTCATTCTTGTTTCTCTTCTTTTCACATTTGCAATTCTCTTCTCCAGTGGTGAGAAAACCAGCTCCTATTTTTTTTACCTGATCAATTCCCCCTTATGCAACCAATGTCTTCTCACCCATGGGCACACCCCTATGTAGGAGCCCTCAGTACCCATCTGCCCCAGCACATGAATGTCGTGCTCACTCTCCTTGGGCTTCTACACTCTGCACCAGCTCTTTGTCTGGCTCTACAGTCTCCTCACTCCCTTCTGATTCTGAGACGCCCTTGCAGGAAATCTTAGCATGGATGCCCTTGCATGGGTGCATGAATACCCAGCTCCATCCCCACACCTCACAGTAGGCCATCCCCCTGGAGCGGACCTTCTTCTCACTCTGGTTGGGAGTCAACGCCTTGCCTTGGGCCACTGCTCCCTCCACTGCCAGGCTAGTGTAGAATCCTACTTTGCCCCATCTGATGGATTTTGCACAGAATTGATCAGAAACAGAAGGGAAAGAAAGGAAAAGGAGAGAAGCTGGGAAAGAAGGAGATGGAGAGGCAAAGAAGAGGAAAAGGAAAGCTCACAGTAGACTTTTTGTGGATGAACTTCATCAGGGTGAAGAAGTTCTTTTCTATGCTTTCATTACCAAAATGTGTTTGTGTGTGTGTATTTAACACAACACACATACATTTTACGTTTTATTAAAGCTTTTTTTCTGTATCTATAGGTATATTTTCATATGGTATTTCTCTTTTTCATACATTTAATGGGACGTAGAATTCTGACTTTGTTAAGTGTATTAAATAAGTTAAACTCTTGTCTACATTTATATTTGTCCTCTTTATTATTATTGATATGCTGTAGTTCTTTATATAGTCCGGACTAGTTCTTGGTTGGCTATACATGTTGCAATATTTTTCTCCCATTCTCTGACTTTTAATCTGTTAATTTATTTTCTGACATTTATTGACTTTCAAAAGTTAAATCAGGTATTGATTACAGGGGGCTGGAAGCAGGGAGTTGTACTGGGTTGGGTTTGGATCATAATCTGGAAAGACACAATCCTGAATGCCATAGTCCCAAATGTTGAAATCCCTAAAGATCAGAATCCCTAACGTCTAAGTCCCTAAAGTTGAAAATCCCTAATGTCTAAAATCCTGAAAATCACTGTCGCAGGATAGTTAGTTGCCTCGTGTTAGGCAGAACTATCACCTTGTTATTTTCTTTATGCAGCAGAAAATAGATTTCAGTCGAATCCTCAAACCATGCCAGTTTTGGAATTAGGTGCAATCAGGCTTTGAAAAGTAAATTTCAAGACGTTACCAATAAAGGGTTTTGTTACTGTTGTTGTTGTTGTTTTTAACCTTCAGCCCAATGCATTTGGCAGAAAAATCAGATGAGTGGATTAGCTATAAGATACGAAAACAATGGAAACTTCAGTTTAAAAATATGCTATTTGCCTGCATCAGCATTCTTTCCAACTGATGACATTTCAGGACCTTTTAATGAATTAAAGCCATATTTGCTGTAAGAAGCCAGCGAAGTTACTGACTGGTTCAAAAATAATTACATGCATGGTGGAAGAAGAAGACGTACAAAAGTGCTGTTGGTCGATCACCAATAATTGTTCCTGCCAAATATGTGGCCTATATATGAGCGCATGCGGAATAAATTTCTGTGTACCCAAAACAGCATAGAAGTGTGGCAGAGAAGATGGGAAAAATTATTACAGAATGCTCTTGTTGGTGTATATCAGTTCATGAAAGAATTTCAAACTGAGCAGCGCCACATGGAAATGAATGTGAACATATCTGAAAAGAGGACGTCCTAACATCTATCCCTGTAATACACTTATTTTTTACAATTCACTATACTACGTATTTCATCTTTGCATCATTTCCACCACTGGAGGTATAAATTGTGTAAACACTTTTAGAGAGTTCTTATTTGTTTTATGCATTTTTTTACAAATATGACTCCATCAAAGCGCATAATCACAAAGTTGGCTTTGTGTGTAAGCACTGTGCACGTGTGTAAAAACATTGAAACTTCCTCAATAAATGAAGAGATACCTCTTTTTGTGCATCTGCATTTGTGAAAGGTAAGGTTTCTCTAGACCTCAGCTCTTTGGGTGATTCCATATGCGGTGGGGACCCATCACGGTTTTTTATCAACTTTGTCAAGAGTTGTTAAGTTGTCTTTCATCGTATTTCAAATGACTGCACTATGAAGCTGGGTGCACCACATAACAAGACATAATAAAGTGCATTTCTACATTTCAGTTTTTGATCTGTTGCTTTATGGTTTGACTCATAACTGTTATACCTGTATAACTGTCATTAATGTATCTGAGTATTTATGCTTGCTAAAATATGTATATTATTATCTCCTATTTTATTGTAAAATAACCTAAGAAGTGCTCTGTCACGTTTTCTTATTTCTCAAATAACTCTCTTTCTAAAGATAAAAATGAGTATCTTTAAATATTTTTCATTTTTATTATTTTTTCCATAATTATATTTTCAGGATTTTAGTCTTCCTGGATTTTAGCACTCAAGATTTTGGCACCTGAGATTGTGTCTTTTGGGGTTATGATTATCTCCTAACTGGGCCGTATTAAATATTGTTGAATTTGATTGTCTGTATTTTGTTTAGATTTTCTACCCATGTTGACATAGATGAGATTAGCCTGTGGTGTTTCTTTCTCATAGTATCTTCTCTTGTTACTTTTCTTTGATTAACATGATTATGATAACCTTATAAAATGAGTTGAGGAGTATTTGCTCATCTTCCATCTTCTGGAAATGTTTAAACATTTTTAAATTTGTTATTGAATAATTGGCAAAAGTTGTCGGTGAAGTCTTTCAGCTTTGCGTTTTGATTGTGAGATGAATTTACTGCAGATGTTGTGATTTTATTGAATTTAAGATTATTTAGATTTCACTGTGGGCTAGTTTGGTTAAGTTATAGTTTTCTAAGAATTTATCCATTTTATGTAAATATGCAAATTGACTCAAATAAAGTTATAATTAATCTATTTAATTGGGTGTCTAGGTTATTAAAAATAGTAAACACTTATTTTAGGCTATGTGTATATTAATTCCCCTTAAGTTAAAAATGAGGATATAAATAGCAAAAGGCCTTTAAAATAAAATATAAAATATGGTCATAACCTCAGCAGAGGGAAAGAGTTTTTCAAAAGGATATGAAATTATTAAGCATAAAGTAAAAGATTATAAAATTTGCTTTGCTAAAATTAAGATTAAAAAAATTAAAAGACACCATAAGAAAAATGAAAAGTCAAGCCACAGAATGGGAAGAAAAACTTGCAAAACATATAGCTAACAAAGAATTAATACCCAATCTATGTTAAAAAAATAAAAAAAAAACACTATAATATACCAATGAAAAAAGATACATAGAGATATGGATTAAAAATAACAAATAAAATTTACAAAACAAGATATCTACATCAAGACACCATAACTAGGAATGCATTTAAGTCTGACCAAACATTTATGGCAGTGTGGAGCAATGGGAACTCTTGTATGCTGCTGGCCAAAATAAAAACCAGTGCAAATACACAGAACAGTCTTCTGGCAATACCCAGTAAAACTTCAGTATGTGTGAACACATGACCAGTAATTCTGCTCCTAGGTATCTGCCCCCGAGAAGTTATTGCTCACGAGTACCAGGATATATCCTAGAATATTCATAGGTGCATTTTCTGAAATAGTCGAACCTAGAAACTACTCAGATTCCTATGCCTTATAGAATAGATACATATATTGTGGTATGTTTATACAAATGATATTACATAAAATTAAAAAAAATCTACAGTTATCTTCAACAACGTGAATATTCCACAAAGCATATTATTGAGGAAAAAGGCAAGGCCCAAGAGAGAAGGTGAAATTTCCAGCGTGATTATGTCACCCTGAACATCAGATCAGGGGACACTTCTGTCCCAATCCCTTCATCTCATTCAAGTGCTGCAGTGTCTCAGGCCACACCATTAGACTCCCAGTTCTGCTTTTGGCTTCACCTTCTACTGGCCACCACCCCCTGACTGTCTCCACTCTAGTCTCACTGGCTGCCATGCTGGTTTTGAACACACCAGGCAAGGTCACTCTTTGAGTCTTCGCATGGCTCTTTCTGTTCAGAACCCTCTTCCCCAGATGGCCAGAGGCCCACTGTAGCACTTCCTTCAGATCCTGATGAGAATGTTCCACTTTCAATGAAGCTTTCTCAGGCCACTCTCTTTCGCTTTATTATTCTCAAAAAACATCATCACTACATAATCTATTATTCATGTCTTCATTCATTCATTTATTTATCTAATTAATCATCTGTCTGCTCCTACTAAACTGCAACCTATGTGATAATATTGGTGCAAAAGTAATTTCAGTTTTTGCCATTAAAAGTGAGGGCCATAAACCTCAATTGCTTCTAATGGCAAAACCTGCAATAACTTTTGCACCCACCTAATATCTTTTTTTAAAAATTGCTTCATCCTTAGTTCTTATACAGTGTCTAACTCATAGTTGGTATTAAATAAATACTATTTTATTGAATGGTAAAGCAAATGGGAAATCCACACTCCAATTCCAGGGAAGTGATTACCACTGAGGGTGGTGAATGGAGACAGCATTCGAAGCTGGTGGCTTACATATACCTATTACATGTGTCGCATTAAAAAGTGAATAATCAAAAGCATATAATGCAAAAATATTAACAGAACTTTAATCTCAGCTGTGCATATATTTGTTTCTATTTGCTTTCCTGTATGTTTGAAATTTAAAATGTTTTATAATTTCTTTAACATAAAGAGGAGAAAACTTTGGAAGTTTGGCATGCTACATTGTTCTTTTGGGATATAACATGTTATTTCCTTTAAACTCAGTATTTCTCAGAGATATTTGAACATGAGATACATTTTTTTTTCAACTGAACAGCTATAAATGATTTCTGCAAATAAATTTGGTTCCCTGTCTGTTTTACTACTCAACCAACCAATATTTATAAAATACCAACTACAAGTTAGACACTCAGTCTGAAAACTGAGGATAGAGCAGTTAAAAAAATGATATACCATGTTATCAGGTGGGTTATAGTCCAGTGACAACAGACAGATGATAAACAAGTGGAATAAATGAATGATTCAATGCTGGGATGATAGATTAAGTAGCGGGGATGTTAAAGAGAAAAACAAAGCAAGAAAGAAAGACAGTGGCCTGAGAAACGAGATAAACTTTGACTTCATTCTCCTTTCAACTTGGATCTTGTTTATCTCTAAGGTTTGCCAATATGTACTAGGATCAAAGCTCTCCTATACAATACTTTAACACTAAGACATTTACAAAAGTAGATCTCATTATCACATTGTATTAGTTATGTATGTATGTATATATGTATGTATGTATGTATATATGTATCAGTTTTCTAACCATGCTGCTTGATTTCCCAAATCAAGTACATCATATTAAAAAACATCATAAACAATACCTCATATTAATTTTCCAAATCAAGCTGCATGATTTGGGAATGAATATGAGATACTGTTTATGTAGATCATATTAATTTATATTCACCTCTGCGCTTGTCTAACTGAATTCATTTTTTAAGTTATATGTGGAGCTCTGCCTCAGATTTTGAGGGAGAAGGGGCTACATACATACATATGCCCTCAAGGAAAATGACAAATAAGTAACTGTTTTTCATTTTGTTTTGGCTTCCTGGGGGCTTATAGCCCTTTTTTTTCAAATAAATTGTATAAAATCTTGGACAAACTAAGCTAAGCCAAGGTGAACCTGGTCAGAATGATAAAATAATAAGAAAACAAATCCTTTGAAGGAGAAAAATGGCAGAAAAATTTGCTAAGAGAAAAAACAAACTTATTTTTATGTTTTCAAATATTTGAGAAGTGTATGCAACTTATCTGCTGACCCCAGAAGGCACAACTAATACCAATGAGTAAAAATGCAATACAAGAAAGAACTTTCTAGTTATCATAACCATCAAGATGGACTGAAACCTATCATTAGTGTCTAATAAGCATGTCTAGTACACATGGAAAAATATTGAAGTTTCTTTCCAACTCTCCAGTTCCATGAATCTATAAATGTTGTTCTTCTGATATTTCTGCCAGTCTTCTCTGTAATCTGGAATGAGTGAGCTCACTTCCCACAAAAGACCAACGCTCCTTCCTCATTTAGCTTCTGTCTAAAGGCTCTGACATCTATTTACAAAAATTCTTAGTGTCACAGAGTTCAATGAAGGGTGTTTGCACATATGTAAATAAGTGTGCATGCCTTGTCCAGGGTTGTTAAAGGTTACTGATGCGTGCCATAAATTTTTAAGAGTCATCTGCTGCTCTGGGCAGAGGCCACGGCTGGTAAGGCTGTTGTGCTGCCATCCACTCATCATAAATCCTTCAGAAGGCTTCGCACTGTCATGGGCAATTTTGTTTTTATTGTTACTCTTTCATTTAACAGAACATGATAAATTGGTCCTGTCTATTGTGCATTTCTCAAATAGCCACTTCCTGGTTCATTATCATGATTATATGACACGTGAAAAGAATAGGGAAGGCTGAGTTAATGGGGCTGTCTATGAGCCACAGACGGCTAGGAAACTAAAAAGATCTGCATGTTGACAGAATCACAGCTGAGTATCGGGACCCACCAGATGTCCCTGAGCTGTGACCAAAATCAAGGAGCGTTTGTTGACACCCCACCCACACACGCCAACACCCACAAAGGTTATGCGTTAAAGGAAGATGACAGATCAGTATAGTGCAAAAAGGAATCCAAATAAAAAATAAAATATTTAATGTTTTCCTTATGAGTCTTCCAATTGCTTTCTATGTGTCCCCTATAACTCTCTCTATTGTGCAAAAATCCAATTAACAATTTCATAAATCAATTACAATAGTTTTTTTAATGAAGTTATCAAATATTTAATGGATGTTCTTCAGAGCACAATGGTGAAATTCAATATCTAGTAAATTAGTTTTTTTAACCTACTCCCAGAATATGCTTAATTATGTAACATAATTTTGTGTTAGGTATTTCGTGACAGAAACAAGTACTATTTGGTCATTACAATCTCATGATTATAATTCATCAAAGTGATTTCAGAAATGATTTTACCATTATTCAGCAACAATATCAACAAAACAGCCAATACTAAATTGAAGTGGAGTTACATATTTTCTAACGTCAGAAACCATTTTTCTAGGCCCAGAGTTTTATGAGTGTGTACTGCACATAACCAGCAATAGTAGTGATGAGGACTAACACATGCACAGAGCTTTGGAGTCTGAAATGGATTTGCTCACCTGTTCTCTCCTTTGATCTTCCTGATTATGCTGAGAGGTAGACAAGCTCTACTTCATTTTCCAAATGAAAAACTAAAGACTCAGGGAGGTTAAGTGACTTTTCTTGGAGATGAATCTAAAGTGTGCTAGGCTGGAATTCTCGCTTCAAAATCTGTTTTCTCTTCCATTTTCTTTTCTTTTCCAACTCTGTCTCTCTGTCCATCAAAAAATCTGTTACTTCCCCTGCCACACCATGCCTTGTGGCTGATGCCTCAGTAACACTGAAATGCTGTTGGTGAGCAGACCTGCCATGTGATTCCAGAAGCCCATGCCTTTTACAGGCTGTTCCGATGGCTTGAAATTCTTCTCCAGGTGAACAATGAAGCTCCTATTGATCTTATAAAATTCTTAATTGTCTTCATCTCCTTAGTATCACATTTCCAGACACCTTTCCATATTTTTTAAAGCTTTGTATTTAATGCCCAAACACACCCCAAAATAGAACTTCTTCCAGCCTCAACATTTGTCAATCTTCAGTCCTTTGTGATTCTTCTATCATTTCCTTGATGTATTTGTTGGTTTTGTGTTGTTGTTTGCTAGAAATTTTCAAAACAAATTTTAGACATCTGTGAATATGTTCATATACATTCTAAAAAGTTTTGTTTCCCATCTGTAAACAATTTATGATTATGTCATTTCTTCCCCAGTATGTCATCAATTGTCCTCAATTTTTTCAACGTGTATCTTCTGTTGGCTTATTCAAATAAGGATTAGAGGAGATTCTCACACTGTACTTTCTTGATGTGGAACTTCCACCTCCCTCAGTCTATAACACTTACCTCCTACATTTCCCCCAAGCTTTTTCTTTCTTGAAGAGATGGTATAATTTCTCAGAGTCTGGATTTGATTCATTGTATCTCTTGCTATTTACTATGTTCTTTTATCTTATTTCTTATTAACTGGGCAATTAAGTCTAGATGCTTGATTACATTCAGGCTGTATATATAGATAGATGAAACTTGATTAAATGCTTGATTAAGTTCGTTTTGTATGTATGCATATATGAATAATTGAAATAGGGTATCAAGCATTTCCTATTGCACCATATCAGAGAAGTATATACAATCTTATTGTTCCACTTTTAAAACAGTAAAATTAATATCTGGGTTCAGACATTATCAATCTGATCCATTCATCAATGACATCCCTGTCAATCTTTCCCAGTGGATTTCACCCATGGTAAAGAAGGAAACAAAAGAAAACAAATATTTGTTACCTAGCACCATTATTTCATTGGAAGTAGCAAAATGGTAATTTCTAAATTCGAAAATTTGTCCTTTTTATAATTTTTTCTACAACAAACTTAGCCTCATCAAGTATTTTGTTTTCTAAAATGCAGTCCATACCAGAAAGGCAAGATAAATGTTGTCATCTTCTTTTACTTAGCAATATTTAGAATAATCAGAAGGTGCCCTAGCAAACTCCAAAGTTGATCAATAAGGTTATTACTTTTAAAAATGTATTATTATAAATGAATGGATGTGTGCACATTTGTGTGTATGTATATGTGTGTGTACATTCTCAAATGATTTTTATGGTGTAATTCACTCCTCTGCAGTTGACATTCTCTTGGTTGCTCAAATTTTCTCATCAAAGGCAGCAGAAATCCATTTTTCAAGTTGCTTCTTATATAGACGGCCTCTTGTTCATTGGTGATCATTTCTTTGCTTTCGACATGACCAAGTGTCCCAGGCTCATATTTTATTAGACGAGACCTTTTAAATTGCTGAAATTCAACCATTTTGAACCTACAAAGGGACAACGTAATACAGTTCAAACTAATACATATTTTGCTCCTATCCTAGAGTCAGCTAGTTCAGGGAGTCCTGGTTCCTTATAGTGAAATAGTGTTTAGATATCATAGGGGATTAAATGTTAATTGGTCATGGCTTTTGATTACTTCAATACATATTTCTTAAAAGATAAAAAAACATGAGTTTATAATACTTTTTTAATTTATGTAAAGATTATATGATTTTATTTTTATTGAAATTCTCTTTTTATTTTTGTATTTCCTTTCTCTTATGATGAAAATCTTCCTTTCTAATTATACTAATAAAAACACATTTTCTTTATCCTATTTAAACTATGCTAGGCATATGCAATAGTCTCAAAAACAAGGTAGTAATGTCAATATTGCTGACAGAACAAATATATTATAACAAAGCTGTTATAGATTACCAGATGCAATATAAGATACTGTGTTAGGTTTTTCTTTCATTGCTGTAAAGAAATACATGAGACTGGATAATGTATAAAGAAAATGGGTTTAATTGGCTCATGGTTCCGCAGGCTGTACAGGAAGCATAGCTTTGGCATTTGCTTCTGGAGAGGCCTCAGGAAGCTTCCAACCATGGCAGGAGGTGAAGGAGGAACAGGAACATCAACGGCAAAAGGAGGACCAAGCGAGGGTAAGGAAAAGGGCCACATGCTTTTAAATGACCAGATCTCCTGTGAAATCAAAGCAAGAGCTCAGTTCTCACCAAGTGGATGCTGTAAACCATTCATGAGGGATCTGCCCCCACGATGCTAACATTTCCCAGCCAGCCCCACCTCCAACATTGGTGATTACATTTCAGTGTGAGATTTGGGTGGGGGCAAACATGAAAACCATACCAGATACCTTGTGTTTACTTTTAGGTTTGAATATACTTGGGTTTTAGAGTAACTTAATCATTATCTGACTTCCTGTACTACCCAGCTGATATATTTTAGGTCCATTTATTTCTATTAGTTTTCTATTTTTACAGATTTTTTCTTTTTAATTTTTTAAAAAATTACATAATAGTTTTCATAGTTTTAGAGTCCTCCAGCTATTTTATAGTACCATCTTAATATTTATGTTGTTTGTAATCATTGTATGTACGATATTATAAATTTGTGTGTTTTCATGCCAGTACATCTCACTTGACCAGGAAGTAAGTGAGGTCAGGTTCTATGTCTATATATAGCAAAGTAGTTGGCAAGAGAGAAAGTTCTAAACTTAGCCATGAGTCTTATATGTGTGTGTGTGTGTGTGTGTGTGTGTGTGTGTGTGTGTGTGATGTGAATAAAAGAATGAAACAGTTGTACATCAGAAGGGTAAACTTGTAATGTTCATTTCTGGAATATATAACATGTGTGTTGATCTCAATAAAGACTAGGAACATAGGTTGCTGTGGTATATTTGGAATCATTGGGTGTATTTCCATGTTGAAAAGTGAAAAAAATTAGTGCTGAATTAGGTAAAATGAATACATCTTAGTAGAATGAAGATGAGATATTAGCTGTGAAGGGCTTTTTGAAATTAGAACCTCAATGGTCAAGCTCTATGACTCTAGTTAGGCAGATCCAGATTCAAATCCCAGCCCAGCTCTACCTCTGAATAAATATATAATATTGGACAAGTTGTCTACATTTTCTCTAACCCAAATTCCCTTATTATGCAATGGAGACAGTAAAAATTCCTGTCTCTTAAGGTTGCTGTGAGGAATCAGTGATAAAATAAATACAATGTGCTTATCAAAGGGCTATGAACATAGAAATTAAGTAGCTATTACTAAAGAACTGTTATTACCACCATCATCATAATTATCTACTGCTACTGCTAATATTACTATTTACCACACTGTTTTTAAATGCACTTCAAATTTATTAACAAAGGTAGTAGTTCTACCTTAATTACAAGTACAGGACTCCACATTTAATGCCTAAGGTAGTAGCTCTCAACCTTTACTGTACTTGGAAGCGGGTGAGGGACCTAAAAAGTATGGATGCCCGGTTGCCACCCCTGAGGATCTGATGTCATTGCTCTGCAGTGTGGACCAAGCGTGGGGTTTGAAAAGCTCTCAGGTGATTATAATGTAGCACTAGGATGGGGGAAAACTGCTGAAGGCCTTCAGATTTCAAATGATCAAGTGAGAGGCTGTTTGTTAACATTTGACTTATTCATTTATATGCACAATTCTGCCTGGCAGTTTGTGAAAAGTCAAAATAATCAAAATCAATTTCCATTAAGAGCACTATGCACACCCTAGCTAGGATTCGGGGACACCCTTTTTCTCTGCCATTCTCTATCTGCTAACTATAATAAAGGTTTTCATTATCAGTAAAAAACCACTTGTGACTCAAGCTAAAGTACCAGTGAATCCCATTCATGTCATATGAAGTAAAGATAAAATGAATCAGTACTCACAGGGACTAACATCCGGAGGTCAGTGAAGACCATTCTGCTCAGGAAAAAATAGATATGAGGCACATTATCTCCTCTCCCAAATATTGTGTTAATCTCTAAGTTTGATACATGTTAAGGATGAATACTTAAAAAGAAAGAAGCACGCAGTTCAACCCCCTGCACCAGCATGAGCTGAATCTCCAAGTGCCGTTGTGCTTTGTATTTTTTCGTCTTATTCTTCCTGATGAATGTAAAAACATTGCGGCTCACAATGCAACTAGGATAATCAATAAGGACCGTTACAAACAACCCAGGCATTTTAAAGCTCTCCATAATTACAATGGAGACATAATTACATAAACATTTTAAAAACACACAGCAGTATTACTGTAGCACCTTAGCTTTAAAATCAGATCCTGGCTGAGTCCTATATTTATGATTTATTAATTTTACTCACGATTTTCACATGAACATAGTTTTCAATGCTGAACAGACACAGGGCAGCACCATCATTGATGCAGTAGGCTGGACCACGCCCCTCTCTGCTTACTCCACGTGTGTGCCGCAGGACAGCTAAGGATGGGGAACGGGAAGGCTGAAACTATTTTCTTCAGCTCTGTTTGAAAAGTAAACAAATTGTATCACTTAGAAGAAAAATTCAAGAACTTCTGATTTCTCTTCAGGCCACTGTACCCGCACATCTGCTTGATTTTCAGTTCATTGAGAAGCCTAGTTTTGAGTTGTAAAGATTCAAGGACAATAGTAAGTCATATCTTTTGAACGATCTGAATAATAAGAATCGATGTCACCAGAATTTTACTCCATTCCATAAATGTATAGATATAGATATAGATACTTCTTTTTTTTATTTCTGGCATTGGAACCAGGCTCTATGTCAAGAAAAAACTGAGTTAATAGTGCAATCAGGAATACCTAAACTTATTTGCCACATGAGCAAACTTTGAGAAGATAGCCCACAGGGCACCAGACATTCAGGACTGGATCTGGCTGATTGATAGTGGACTCCCATCGGAAAGCCACTGACATTAACACAGATTCCCATCAATGTGTTTCTTACACATAATGTGTAATCATTACACATAATGTATAATCATTACACATAATGTGTAATCTTATACATAATATGTTTCATTAGAAACAAAACACCTTGAGATAGGCTATATATATATATATATATATATGGCAGGTCAACATAGTTGGTGGAAGATTAATATTGTTTCGTGGGTGGCCCTAATAAGTTGTCCAGGGTGTTACATGTCACTGACTGTGGAATTCCCTTGGATTTACCATTTACAGTGATACAGGCTATGAGTAGCAGTAGATGAAGACATGGTAGAATTGTTGGCACTGAACCCTGACTCAAAGATTCCTTCTCCACTGCCATTCCTAGGGCTTGAAATGAAGCTTTGGGGTCCCCAAGGCTCCCCTCTTAAGATATGTGGAAAATCAGAATATGCCACCTCAAAATATGCCTCTTTTGCCTAAGGATTGTTGAGCTCAAGGCCATTAAGAAACAGCAGATACAAGAGTGCTCTCTGCACTACCTCTGTTTGCCTAAACGTAGGGAATTGATTTACAAAGACCAAAGATATTCCACCTCCCTTTCTACAAGTAAAAACAAAGGTTAACCCCCTTAAGGCAAGTTTAGACCCTTTCTGGCTTGGAGAACAGCGGAAAAACTCCACACTAACAAAGTTCCCTAACTAGCCCGCAACTGCCAGTTACCTGCCTTCCCCAAGGGTTGCCACCCCTAGGGACTCAGATTTCTTTCCCTTGCCCTGTCGTTTCTCTAAAAATGTACTGCTCTTTGTTGAGGATGCTGCGTAAGCTGGAAATCAGAGCCATCTGACTGAAAATTCTCACTCCCTAGGTATCTCTCATGTATATGTGAAATATGCATGTTAATAAACTTCTGTTTGTTTTTCACTTGTTAGTCTGTCTTTTGTTACAGGGGTTCATTCCAATGAAAAACTCATGATAATTGAGGAAAAAAGTGTTTTTCTTCTCCCACTAGAAGCAAATGCTACAGGAAAGAAAAAGAAAAGGAAATGGGAGCAAAGTAAAACAAAAACATTTCCATATTCAATTTCCAGCAAATTGAGGCATAGAACCTCGTCACTGACTTGTCACTTCGTTGGAAAATACAATTGCATATCTAGACCTTGCCTTCCAAGCTGAGCCACTCAACTTGCTGCACGCACTAATATTTCTGCTCTGTTGCTGTCTCTCTCTCAGTGGCAGAGACTATTTTTTCATCTCAATATCCCCAGTGCCAAGTAAAAGCACTATGACTTATTAGATGCTGAAAGCGTGTTGAACTAAACCATCTATGTTAAAAATAGCAACGTTACCCTCCTCCCTGTGTAGATCACTATAGATAATGCCATTCAAACTTTAAGATAATGCTGTGTATATTGTCCTTGCTTTCATGGGGAAAAACTCAACACTGCCGTTCAGCAAAGGGCCAGGTTGCTTCTCATCACAGACCTGGGGCTTCCATATGTTACTTTCCCACTGTGTTTCACTGAAGAATGATGGGAAAGCCATGGCAAAGCGTGCAGAATGCAGAGCTGAGGTTAGCACTTCGATTGCAATTTTATCTTTCCTATGTTCCTCAATTTTCTGAGACGCTGTATCTTTTACAAGAAAAACTTTTTTTCACCGTGATCATTTTCAAATGTAGATTTTCTCTTCCAGAGTTTCTCCAATGTGCTGAATTCTGCATTCTTGCAAGTAAGGTATTGCAGCTTGAAAATGTGCTACATGGCATTTTCCTGAATTCTACATAGTTGTTAGTGTTGTGGCAAATCTATAAAATGCCATACTATATGTTTTGTTTTTTGAAGCTCTGGCACTCTCATTTATAAAGATGCCTTTGCTTCCAATGTGCACTGTATATTTTAACTCAGAGAGGCATGAGTTTCCTGGAAGTCAGAGCGACTTAGCTGGTTATCTCACTTATAGCATGGGGACCCACAGAGAAACCCAGGAGATTTCTAGTAGTTCGGCATTACTTTGGCATAAAACTTGTTGGGCCAAAGGATGTAGGGAACTTGATTTCTTTCTGGGTAAATGTGAAAACTCATTTATTAGTTTCTCTGCACCAATGCCTACACATAAAACATTGTTTCAAATGACAGAGGCCGTCATCGTGTGGAGCAAAAACAGTCCTCCTCTTTACTCCTTTCTGTAGCATCTTCTCTTCATCTCAGCATATTCCTACCTCTCAGAGACATGGCATGGGACCTAGGCTAGAGAAAGCAAAATGTTTCCATTAACTTCTGCAGATTTTCTGTGCCCATCAGAGTTTCTGAGAATCAGAGAGGATAAGTCATCTCCTTGGGCAGGAGTCTCTCACTATCCTAGAAAAGGTGAGAAACTGTGATTTGGAGGTGCATATCTTTGGCGCCAAATAGCTGATGGGTGGACAAATATCTTGAATACTGTCTTACTCTACTACTATTCAACCTAGCAATCCCCTCACTGGGTATATACCCAGAGGGAAATAATTTATTCTATCAGAAGGATACATGTACTCATAGGTTCATTGCAGAGTGATTTACAATAGCAGGGACATGGAGTCAACCTAAGTGCCCATCAACAGTGGATTGAATGAAGAAAACGTGGTATACTTATACCATGAACCACTATGCAACCATAAGAAAGAATACAATCATGTCCTTTCCAGCAACATAAATGGAGCTGGAGGTCATTATGCTAAGTGACCAAACTAGCATAAGAATAGAAAACCAAATATGGCATGTTCTCACCTATAAGAGGGAGCTAAGCATTGAATAAACATGAACATAAACATGAGAACAATAAATACTGGGGATCACTAGATGGAGATTGGAGGTAGAGAGGATGTAGGCTGAAGAACCACCTATTGGAAACTATGCTTACTGCCTGGGTGACTAAAGCATTGGAACCCCAAGCCTCAATGTCATAAAATTTACCCATGAAACAAAACTCCACATATACCCTTTAATCTAGAATAAACTTTGAAACAAAAAAAAATAGACTTCAAAGATCTGCACCATACACATAGCAGACAAAATTACAAATTGTGTAAATACCAGTTTTTACCATAAAAATCACTGGATGGTAGATGTACAAAAAAGAACATTAGCCAGGATTGAAAAGTCTGGGTTTGAATCCTAGTGTGAAATTCAGATTCACAATAGTTTAGTTCAGCACCTGTTCGCAAGCAAGAGAGAACAGGTGCTTCGGGACATATTGTTCATATATGTTCTAATTAATCTAGGCACTCTATTTGTAAGCCAATGGGGCATATCCGCACAGTCTAGCATATTGATTAAGTGCATGAGCAAGATATAAAGACTAGCTCTGTACTCACAAGCCGTGTGATCTAAGCTACTGAGTAGATTTTCTTCATCAATAAAATATTCCTCATAACTCCATCTGCAATGATGATTATGAGGATAAATGAAAAGGAAAGCATAGAAGAACTTAACAGTGGCAGCTATTATTTTGGGATAACTATTGTACTAGATCCTCCTCCTATGCTGAATATGTGTTGCTGCTGCTGCTCTCATTCTATTTTGTCTTACCGCCCAGCTCTTCACCTTCTAGTTTCAGAACCCAAATCTCTTCCCTCAGTAAAACACCCTCTCAGGAAATGGAACTATGGGAAATGTACTGGAACCTGAAAATGAGATCACCCAATTTTCAGGTTCCAGGTCTGGGCTTTCGAGCCATGACTGGAATTCTGAAAATTCTAAGTATACATTAACTAAATGTTAGTCCAATAAAAGGACCTATTCAGCAGCCATGAGAACTGCCTCAGTCATGGTCATGGGACCAAAGCCAGTTCACCAAGGCTTCCCTTTGCTTTTGCTGAGAATGTTGGGAAAGGATCATTGCCTCCATGCTGAGACTTCCTGCTAATTGTGAAGAATGTAAACTCGGAGCTGCTGATGGGCGTAGACGATGTACATGCATGAGTCTGCAGGAAGGCAATCTTACTTGGAAGAATGATAAAGACCACCAGGATCCATTGAATTTCTACCTCGAACATCTCAGTTTCTTGATGTATTCTATTTCATTTTTTATTTAAGTCAAATTGAGTAGGTTTCTGTCATTTGTCACTAAGAGAGTTATGGCTAAAACACTTTTATTACATATCCCTCTTTTAAAACAAGACCAGGCCATTTAATATTTGTTTCTTGTTCAGAATTCTTCTCCTGTCCTTTGACCTTGATGTTAGAAGCTGGCCTCCCAAATGCCTGTGTCCAGACGGCTTAGGTGGGACTTAGGTTGGACACAAGTTTATGATTCTCCTAGTTCAGTATTTCCTGAAGCATTTATTCCATTGTAAGCAAGCTTATTATTAATTTATATGAAAATACAAAGGCCACAGGATAGCTAAAAATAACCTTCAAAATGAAAAAGAAAGTGGAAAAAATCACTCCACCCAATATTAAAGTCTATTATATAGCTGCATTAATTGAGACAGTGTGGTATTGGCAGAGAGATAAACACATAAATCGATTGAACAGAACAGAAAATCCAGAAATTGACCAAAATAAATATGACCAACTGTTTTTTGTTGAAAGTGCTAAGGCAATGCATTTATAAATGAATACCCTTTTTAACAAATGGTGCTGGAGCAGTTTAATATTTAGAGTTAAAAAAAATAATTTTGACCTAAACTTCACACCTCATATAATAATTAACTCAAAGTAGATCTTGTACTTAAATATAAAATGTAACCTGATGAAACTTTTAGATAAAACATAAGAGGAAACCTCAGAGATTGACAGCTGGGCAATACGTTCTTAGACTTGACACCAAAACAAATAATCTACAGAAGGACAAAGTAGTAAATTAGACTTCATCAAAATGAAAATCTTGGCCGGGCGCGGTGGCTCACGCCTGTAATCCCAGCACTTTGGGAGGCCGAGACGGGCGGATCACGAGGTCAGGAGATCGAGACCATCCTGGCTAACACGGTGAAACCCCGTCTCTACTAAAAATACAAAAATTAGCCGGGCATGGTGGCGCGTGCCTGTAGTCCCAGCTACACAGGAGGCTGAGGCAGGAGAATGGCGTGAACCCGGGAGGCGGAGCTTGCAGTGAGTCGAGATCGCGCCACTGCACTCCAGCCTGGGCGACAGAGCGAGACTCCGTCTCAAAAAAAAAAAAAAAAAAAAAAAAAAAAAAAAAAAATGAAAATCTTTGGCTCTGTAGAAAACCCCATTAACAGGATTAAAAAGGCAAGCAATAGACTAGGAGAAAACACTTGTAAACTACATAGCTGTTAAGAATGAGTATCTAGAATAGATGAAATCTCAAAGCTTAATAGTAAAAGTACAAATATTCCAATTACGAAGTGGGCCAAAAGACATGAAGAGACATTTCACCAAAGAGGATTGTGTAAACGCTCAATAAACACGTGAAATAAAAACATGTTCAGGATCACTGGCTGTTAGTGCACTTGTGCCTCCATAATAGCACCCACCATTGACTGGCAGCTTAAACAGCAGACATTTATTTTCTCACAGTTCTGGGGCTGGAAGCCCAAGATCAAGCAGGACTGAATTCTCCTGAGGTATCTCTCTTGGGCTTCATGATGGCCACCCTCCTGCGTCCTCTGCAGATGGCTGCCCCTCTGGAGATGTCTCTCTGGTGTCCTCATCCCCTCTTCTTATAAAGGCTCAAATCAGATTGGATTAGGGCCCATACCAAAGACCTCATTTTGACTTAATTACTTCTTTCAAGGACCTGTCTCCAAATATAACCACATTCTTAGATACTGGGGGTTAGGGTTTCAACATATGAATTTTGGAGAAACATGATTCAGCCCATAATGTTGGCCATTAGTGCAATGAAAATTAAAACCACAGTAAGACATCACTACACACCTATGAAAACATCTAAAATAAAAAACGGTGAGGACACCCAAGGCTAGCGAGGATGCTGATAAACGGGATCACAAATACGTGGCTGGTGGGAGTGTAAAATGGACATGCACTCTGGAAAAAAGTTTGGAAGGTTTTTATTTTTTAATTGTTGTTTAGCTAAACATGCAACAACCATATAAACCCAGTAATGCACATTAGGCATTTATCCCAGAGAAGAGAAAAACTGTGTTCATACAAATACCCATACACAAATATCAATGATTGTTTTATTCTTAATAGCCAAGAATAAGAAGCAACCTAGATGTCCTTATACAGGCGACTGTTTAAACAGACTGTGTTGCAACTCTACCGTGAATATGACTCAGCAAACACAATGAGCAGACAATTGATGCAAGCAACCACCTGAATTCCTTTCCTGAAATTTGTGCTGAGTAAGTAAAACCCCTCCCAGAAGGATTGTATGTAACATTTGAAACGTGTTTATAACATCTGAAATCAGACAATTGTAGAAACGAAAAACAGATTATTAATTGCCGAGGGTTACAGAGAAAAATGCAGGCAGGGAGCAAGTGGGTGTGGTAAAGGGCAACTGGAAGGACCTTGTAGGGTGGAAATTTCTACTTCTTGGAAGTGTTCTGTATCAATGGCTGTGACACTGCCGGACAGTTTTTCAAGATGTTGCCTTCAGGGAAAATTCGGTAAAAGGTGGAGGGGATCTCTATGTCTTATCTCTGATAGTTATGTGTTAACCTACAAATATCTCCAAATTAAAAATACAATTAAAATATCCTTGATTGTACAAGGAACTACTAAAGAATGTACTTTAGCAAGACACTGACCTCACATGGAAGAGAGCATTTTTTCCTATGCTTTGAAATATTTCAGAAAAAAACTTTTAGAAAAAGGGCACGTTTATCAGCTACTAACTTTAAAACAAAACTTGTAGGATTATGCTGTCAGAGAAATTTTGGAGATCTTTCAAAATTCTTATTTTACCAACCAAAAAATAAATGAATACTTGGAGTAAATGTATTCACCAAGATCACATAGTGAATGGGCAACTGAACCAGGACGACGTCTCCCAGCTCCCTGACCACAGTGACTGCTATCACACCACATTGTCTGATCTGGCTAAGCTTGATAATTAACTATTCTTAAATTTAATTTATAATATTTTTTCGTTTTAATTAGTTAATTACCTACATAATGGCCTTCTCTGCATTGGAGGCTGATATAATTTGATGGATATTAGGGAAATTAAACCTTGAAAATCCATAGCCTGCCCAGTTGGGGATACAGTGAGGAAGTGTTGGGGACAGGCACCACCCACAGGTTGTATGAGCCCAACTAGGGTGACGCAGGGACTCTGAAAGTCACACAGCTCTGCAGCTGAGATGAGCCACTCCAGCTTCATTGTCACCAGCTACACAGGGAGGGACTTGGTCGGGACCTATATGCTCAACGTGCATTATCCTGCTTTATGCTGGCACATCTAAGATCTCTACCGTGACTCCAGGAAGATGGGACGCAAAAAAGGGAAAATGAGACCATGGCTATTATTATTTGAAGAAAGCTGTTTGTTACAAAGCAAAAGGGGAAGACCTTGCCTGTCTATAAATTGATGGTAAGAAAATGTTGACCTATATTGACTTTAAGTTAATGTCTACAACTAAAGTCTTGTAATTTCACTAACCATTCCTAATAAAAATACATCTAAAAGCTTAATTCTGCCTGCTACGGCACATATGGGACAGCTATGTTCCTCACGGCCTCTAAAAAGGGTACGATGCCCGATTCAGCTGAAGAGAAGGTTCTAGGATTTATGTACATAAGCTCTAAGCTTAAAAAGACTGGCCTCAGTTATTCTCCATGTTGTACCCAGGTGCCATAAGTTCATAGTTAGTTTTTTATAACTCTTATGCTTTGTGGGCAGCTTACTTATACTCATTATTTCTTATCAGGACGTTTACATTGAATACACGGAGAGCAGTCTGTTACTCAAAGGAACACACACAGAGATGCACACACAGCAGATGCGTACATGGGCACACACACATACACATACACAAATATACATGCAGATGCACACACAGATGCAGATCCAGATGGGTAGACATATCCACACAGATGGATGCACACACAGATGCACACAGGTACACACACATACACATACACAAACACACAATTGCAGATGCACACAGGTACCACACACACACATACACAAATATACACACAGATGCAGATACACATGAATACACACACATAATTGCGAAATGTCTATTTCTAAGGGTTTTTATTCACTAAATATGCTGTGCCAAATACTCATTGAACTCGCAAATTGATGCTATAAAATGAAAAATTTTAAGCAGCTCATTAACATTTCTCCATTTACCCATTCATGAGATCTAGTTATGAGTTAATATTAAGTACATAGTAGAGTGAAGTTTACATTGAAAATGGGAACAGTAAGCTTTAACAAGGTTGAAAATCTTCTCTATATGCTATAGAAGGAGTGTTCCTCCGTAATTTATACACTGAAATCTTAACCCCAATGGAAGGATGTCAGGAGACATGCAATTTGGGAGATCCTTAGATCATGAGGATGGAGCCTCCATGAGAGGGACTGGGGTCATTATAAGAAGAGAAACAAGAGAGCTCGCTGTCTCTTCTCTGCCCTGGGAGATGACTGTCGATGAACAGGGAGCAGAAGCACCTCAGGCTTTAAGTCCTGATCTTGGACTCCCCAGTTCGCATGACATATGAGAAATAAGTGTTTGCTGTTTAAACCATCTATGGCATTTTGTTAGAACAACCTGAATGGACTAAAATGTATTATAAGGCAGAAAATGAGGGGTGAAATCATGGCTTGAACTCCTATCTGCCCAACCCCAAGGCCCACCTCCTCTGCCATCTTGCTCCCATAATGGGCTCTTACTAAGGGTCTCCATGTGCCAGGCACTGTGGTATCAACTCACCTCTCTCCAGTGTCAATGCCATTTTCTGAATAATACAAATAAAATTACTAGAATCTTATTTTCTCTAAGCAGAATGAAAATGGATAGGTTACAGGAATGATGGATTATTTAAAAATGACCTACACTCTAAACTTTTACTTGCTTTGTATGCGTTGCAAAATGGTATTTTGGGTAAATAATTATGTTGCATGAGTGTCTTCATGAACATTAGTATTCTCTTCTAAAATATGGCTTTGTCATTCATTATCTTTGAATTAAGAATAAGTCTTTCATCTCTTTTTTCTCTTATCTTTTCTCTAGTTAAAAAAAAAAGAAGAAAGAAAAAGAAAACTCTCCACCATTAATATACTCCTCTTCCAAGATAGGAATAATAAATCTTGAAGTGGTTCATTAAATATTAAATACTTATTTCAGTTGTTTCTTCTGATTTTGGAATGCATTTTGGAATGCATTTGGAAGCATACAAAATACTTCTAAATGGTCAGTTTTACTGATTACACAGTGTTTATACTTGAGGGAAATGATGATTTTGTCACATTTGCTGTGGCTCATCCAAAGACAGGCATTTAGCCGGGCGTGGTGGCTCACGCCTGTAATCCCAGCACTTTGGGAGACCGAGGCGGGTGGATCATGAGGTCAGGAGATCGAGACCATCCTGGCTAACACGGTGAAACCTCGTCTCTACAAAAAATACAAAAATATAGCTGGGCGTGGTAGCGGGCGCCTGTAGTCCCAGCTACTCGGGAGGCTGAGGCAGGAGAATGGCGTGAACCTGGGAGGCGGAGCTGGCAGTGAGCCGAGATCGAGCCATTGCACTCCAGCCTGGGTGACAGAGCGAGACTCTGTCTCAAAAAAAAAAAAAAAAGAAGAAAGAAAACAAAAACAAAGACAGACATTTAGTAACAGACAAATGGAGTGTAGCACCCTTAGGGGCGAAATAAGCAGGTTAAAAACTGTAGAGAAAATGGGAAATTTGAGTCATACTTTTGTCAGCCAGTGTTTGCCTTTCAATTACCTAGATCTCCTGAGAGCCGGCTGACATGTACATGTACTCAGAACCGTATGTAACTCTACGAATAACACAAAATGGCCCTATGAAGATGGGGAATACTAAAAGCCCTCCATAAGTGTATGACACTTGGGTAAACTTTTCAAGCTTCTGACAGTCATTGCCAAGATACCCTGTCTGTTCTGACCTTGTACGGTTGCTACTGCCACACCCTCACCTCTGCACTTTTGGGCTCACTACTCTCAGACTTTTCAAGAACATTATGTTTCTACCGTCACAGCTGTGCACAAGCTATCTTCCTGGCTAGAAATCCTCTCCCTCAGAATCTACCAGGTACTTCCTACTCATCTTGCAGAGCCAGCTCTGGTGTTCCTCCATCTTCCTTCTCCTGATAGCCACCATCGGGCTTTACACCTTGTTATCTAATGAATGAAGAATCTGTATGATAATGATTTTGGTGTGTCCCCCCATCTGAGCTCTTTTAGGATTCTGTGAATTCTTTAGGAACAGGAGGTATTTTTTTTTTTTTTAATTTTCAATGGCTGAAAGCATCTAATAGATAATAGTTACCATAAGTTGAATTTAATTTGTTAGATTGTAGAGTAGAAATCCAACCTCCATCTACTGACACAGAAATAGCGCTCAACCCCCTTTCCTGTGCATTTTAGTTGGCCTAAAACAAACCTTTTCCTGCCAGCCGATGCTTACGTATCTTTAGTTATGAGAAATGTAAGCCTAAAGCTACATACAGTTGCCCAAAGGCTGAGGACTCAAGGAAAGCCAGAGAGGGACAGAGTTTATCTGGTTAGCCACACGAAAACCATGAATATCAGTTGGCAGCCTGAGTTCTCGCCTTGGTATTCTTATCTAGTACAGGATGACCAGCTGGGTGAGCTAATTAGCCCTGGAGTCTCGCTTATCTTCTAAGTCAGCCAGCTCCCCACCCCACACACCATCAATTCACAGCTGTAAAAAATGATGTAGCAGAAAAGAAAATACTTCACAAAAAATGTGCTTTGTAGATTTTAATAAGGGTTACACACAGCCTGTGAAGGAGAATTAGGCAGAAAACACAGGAGCGGTGTGTGTCCTGCGATTAATGTGGTTTTTGTTGTTTGTGTTTTTGTTGTTGACACACAGATCAGGAGAGAATTGTGTCCAGAGAATGATGAATGTAAAGGCCAAACGTTTTCTGCATTTTGATCATATTCTCTTATGCATTCTTTTCAAAAATACACTAGAGGTTATGCTTAGAAGATATCTTTAGATGCAACAATTTATATATCTCTTAGAATATTCCCAGAGATTGCTTTTAAATGTTCTGCCCTTATTTCAGATGCCCTTAGAAAATAAATGACAGTGGTATAGAGTTAGGAGGAACCATGGAGTTCGTCTGACCTGAGCCTCTTCCCTCTACATTTTCGTAAAAGTGGTGACGCAAGTAAAAAACAATAAATTACAATATAAAATTCTTTCCTTTGAAAATTGAATAGAAAACTGCAGATATGTAAATAGTGCACATTTGCTCTAATGCAAAACTTGCCAACATGTAATTCATATTATAGCCTGATTGTAAGTTGTGCAGTTAGATGCCTCTTGAAAAGCTGAGTTTAAAAAATAAAAGCAAAACAAGCCATTACATATGGCAAATGGCTTTCTCTATTGATTTCTCTTTTAATCCGTTAAGTAAAGCAAATTCCAAAACAATTTCTATTAGGCACATATTTGATAATTAACTTGAAGTTAAAAATGAAAGAATATAAATTAAATTATATTAAGCACCTCATGCAGTAGATTCTGTGCTATATGGTTTTATTTATACTACCTCATTGTATATAAAAGTCTCATGTAAATACTAAGGAGGATGGGTTTCTTTCCATAATATTTAACTTTTGTCTACATATTTTATAATTCACATTAATTAGTTAAAGTGAGGTTTTCCAATCTCAATTTGCCTGATATGGAAACTAATGAAAGCTTTTATATATTTTATTTTAGATATTTTAAAAAATTATATTGACTTTGCAATTCAACTTGCAGAGACTACTTCATAAGGAAATGAGGTAGAAAAAGACAAGAACAAAAAATTCCACTTTCCTCTTTTAAAAACTATCATTCTTTAGGCTATAGGTTATTCTATAAAAAATCTGTACCAATTAAGTATGCACTATTGTCATCCATATAATTTGTACTGATTATACAAAAATGAAACTTTGTATGTACAATATTAAGTACTTGATGCACTTCAGGCTTGAAAACAGCAATGAGATACACTGTCAGACATGAAATAGGAATTAAATGAAGAACAAACACAAACCAGAGATTACGTTTAAATATTCTCACATCTTATGAATCAGTGAAAGTCACTGTATATACTGAACAGAGCTGTGTTATTATAATGTAATATAAATACAAACACTTCCCAAACACTTCTATGTGCCAGTTGCTATGTTACATGCCAAGGATGCAAATTTAATTAATGTAAACCTGATTACTATGCTTTGAGAATTTGTAGCTTGGTGGAAAAGAGTTAAGGATTTGGACAAAGATGTCCTTAAAATAACTATTATAATGGAGGTAAGTACACTTGCAAGATGGTGCACCTGGACTTCTCACTGTGGATGTAGCACTTCAAGTGAGACCCAGGGGGCCTGGTACTACCACGATCAGCCACAAGCAGTGTTCTTTCTTTGTTTCATTTAGGAAGGCTTCTTGCTTAGGGAGAATGCATGAAGACACCATTGTAAGAAAATAAAGATCGTATTTCATGTAGTGTGACTTTACTGAGTGGGCGTGGCCTTCCCTGTTTTTTTCTTGCCAGGTTGAGCCTTCCTGGATACTTGAAGGGCCTCTACCTGTTCTCCTGTCTGACTTCTGTCTCTGCAGAGCCCATTCCTGGCTACTCACTCAAATGTTGCTTCTCACTAAGGCCAGACCTGGACCTTCCCTGGGTCCTGAATCAACTCTCTGCAGTGTCTCCTGGGAAGAGAGGTTCTCTGGATACCTAACTTTATCTCACTTCAGCTGGGACCATATGCCAACCACTTCCTTAACTCAACAGTTTAGACTGACATTCACTGCTGGCCTCTAATTCAATAGCATGCACAGTTCCAAAATCAATGAGTCAAATATACCTGTCTTAAAAAAATAAATAAATAAATAAATAAAAGAAAGAAAAGAAAAAGAAAAAAGAAAAAAAAAAAAAGAAAAGAATTTTGCGTATCAGGATCAAAGTATATTCAAATGAAGACCAGGCTTGAAGAATCCTTGAACAGACAAAACCAGTATGGCATCATAAATAATTTCAACCTTGCTTGATTTGTAAACATAAGCAAAACTTAACTTGAGCTATTTCTTGTAAATACCTACATTAAAAGAAAAAAACAGAACTCAAGCTCAACCAATCAGAAGTAGCAAACAAACCTATAATTATGTAACTAGGGACTTTTCCCAATGGGATATACCAATTAAGGCCACTGTATATCTGTAACCAATCAAACATTTTCTTTGCTTTATTTCCATGTACATCCTATAAACGCCTCCCCCTCAGTGGAGCTCTTGAGCCACTTCTGGTTTGGAGCTGCCTGATTCATGAATATTTGTGTGTTCAAATAAACTCGTTAAAATTTTATTGTGCCTCAGTTTAACATTAGCTTAACCTACATCCTGTGCATAGAAAAGGGCTATACAGAGAGACCCTTTCTTCCTTGGACAACAGGGAAAAAAAAAAAAAAAAAAGAAAAAAACATTAAAGAGACCCTTCCTTTTACCCATGAAAGTTTTAGAGGAAGACACTTCCTGTGATTCAATGCTGTAGGTATGCAGAGATATTTGAAACTGATAAAGCCAGGAAGTTGCTGATGGGAAGTCAGATTTCTTTATGGATGTAAATGTCTTCCTGAGAGAACTCTGACTAGAAGACACTTGTTCATCTCCAATTTGTGAGATACACTGGGGAAAACGAACAGTCTTTCCATTAGGCATGCAGTGGGAAAAAACAAGGGATAAAGTCAACGACAAAGCAAGGTTTTTTAGGTGGATGTGGCATTTTAGAAATTGCCTATAGTAAGTAGAAAGCAACAGATGATGTAATTTAAATTTATTCTCAAACTGAAAGCAGGAAAGGTAACATAAAGGATTGTCAGATTAATGTTCTTTACATACCTTGTTTATTTTAATCCCTGCTATATTCTTAGGTAATATTAATGCACTTTATAAGATTAAAAAAAACTGAGGTTAAGGAAAAGTGTGTGTGTGTGTATGTGTGTGTGTGTCTGGTGCATGTGTGTCTGGTGTGTGTGTGGTGTTTGTGCATGTGTGTATACAGGCTCACATGGCTGATATGCTGGGGGACAGTGTTTAACTGTAGGTCTGTCCAAGCCACTCAGGGTAAAATAAATTACACCAAAGGCTGCAGCCACACTGAAAAGTTTGGCGCACTTTTCAGCATGATGTGACGCACCTTTTAGCACCCTCTTTTTTATCTATTTAGACACATGATACCTAATAAAGACATTAAAATAACATTTTAACTTCACCTAAACTTATACAATATTTGATAGCAGCATTTTTTTGAAATAGGCAATATGCTTTAAAATGATAGATGATGTATGCCATTTTTCATCCTCCTTGGGAAGAATACTGCTCCCAGGAAAAGTGTATTTGTGCTCTATTCTCAATCCTGCTTTCTCTTGGGCTCCCTCTCACTTCGGTCCTTCTCAAAGATATGGGTTTCATTTTACACTCAGAAAAAACTTTATGATTCTACATTTCCCCACTCTCTTGCCTCCTCTTGTCAGAGCCACCATCCATTGTGTTTCAAAGTAGTATCTGGCAGAAATTGTATTTCCCCTTATCCTGCTGAGGATCAGCACCCACCAGTATCATCCCATTTCTTTGATTTTCTTTCCTTGTCATATCCTCATTAATGGATAACAAAAACAAATTAGCTAAATGCATTATCTGGTAAGAAAGATGCAGTGTTACTGGAAAGATAACCAATTGTACACTAGATCGAAACATTGCTTTCATCAATTTTTTGAAAGTTCTTGGCGGGGCGCGGTGGCTCACGCCTGTAATCCCAGCACTTTGGGAGGCCGAGGTGGGTGGATCACAAGGTCAGGAGACTGAGACCATCCTGGCTAACACGGTGAAACTCCGTCTCTACTAAAAATACAAAAAATTAGCTGGGCGTAGTGGCGGGCGCCTGTAGTCCCAGCTACTCGGGAGGCTGAGGCAGGAGAATGGCGTGAACCCGGGAGGCGGAGCTTGCAGTGAGCCGAGATCGCGCCACTACACTCCAGCCTGGGTGACAGAGCCAGACTCCGTCTCAAAAAAAAAAAAAAAAGTTCTTCACTATTACACAATAGCCAAGATTCTCAAGTCACTTGCCTCTACCTCTCTTAAACATAGACACTTATGTCCAAAAGCAACTTCGTTTGGCTATTCAAAAACAACTTTAAGTCACAATTCCGAAAGGAAACTCAACTGACCCAGCAAAAGAACTCCTTTTCCAACTAGTTAGTGGCTCCATCAACTGCCCAGTCACTCAAATTAGAAACCTCCAGCCTTGTTGATTCTTCCCTAACTGCCCTCCTCTGTCCAATGTATCCCTTAGTTTATTGTAATTTTCCAGAAAAGTAATTTACAAATATTGTCTTACCGCTCAATTTTCGTCTTCATATTAGCTCAGGTCTTCTTCATTTTTAAACTAATCTGATCAACAGCCAGCAACTATGTCTATAGCTTCCAATCTCACACCCTTCTTCTCCTGGAGTTGCTGTTTAAAATATAAAATTGAACACACATCTTTTCTACTAAAAATTTGGTTGACTCTCATTGCTGATAGTGTAAGGTTTAAAATCCTCAACAGAGCACACAGACTCTTATACTCTCTACTCAACTTGCACATGTTACTCCAGGCACTCTCTCCTCTAAGTATCCTATTCTTCAGCCAGCCACGCTGAACAGCTTCTTTTCCTGACAATGAATAGCATTTATTCACTTGCTGGGGGACAGTGTTTAACTGTAGGTCTGTCCAAGCCCCTCAGGGTAAAATAAATTACACCAAAGGCTGCAGCCACCCTGAAAAGTTTGGAGCATGATGTGACGCGCCTTTCAGCACCCTCTTTTTTATCTATTTAGACACATGATATCTAATAAAGACACTAAAATAACATTTTAACTTCATATAATCTTATGCATTTATTCTTATATATAATCTTCACATAATCTTATAGCATTTATTCACTTGTCAGGAAAGAGACCTAGCTGAGTTCTAGACACAGAGACACTCAATCAATGTTTATTAATGTAAATGGTATATTTGAATTCTCCACCTCTCCAGCTGGACTTGGCTTTTCTTTCTCAAATTTGTATGTTTATCTGTGCCTCTCTCACAAGTGACTCTCAAGATTGGAGAGAGAAAAAGGTTCTCTGTGCATCTTTTGAAAGAGTTGGCCATTGATTCCTGAAGCAGGTGGTGCATGGTTCTCACGAATGCAGAAGACTAAGATGGTAGAATCATCAGAAAAGGAGATATGAAGAAGACAGATGTGATGTCCAAAGCACTCTGTGGGACATAGAAAATCAGACCATTCTGCTCCAAGTGCTAAGGGTCACTCTGACGGCACTAATGAACCCCACAGGGCTCATGAACTCAGTCACACATGCTTAGTGGTAGGATGGAACCACTTTATGCTTTAGAGTCAGTAAAAGCTGAATATAAAGTCTGGAATCACCACTTAATTTACGGTAAGTCCTTGGGAAAATCTTCTTCAGCCTTTCTCATCCTGATTTCTGAAAGAAAAATGGGGATTGCGGTTTTCACCCTGGATGGCAATGAGGGTTAGCAGATAATGCTTAGTGCAGGGTCCAGCACATGACAATAGATATAGGAAAGTGTTATTTTTAGTCTTTCATCAAATGTTACCAGAAGCATTATATTTCGAGGTCTAATTATGCTATTGATACCAATAACCATTTTAATTATTAGGATTTTTTGGAGACCCACATAATAAGATACAAATTAGGTCCAGTGGAATAGATCTAAAAATACTTGTATTTAGACTTATGATAATAAGTTTTTCTCGTGTGCCTGAAAATTAACTGTAAAATGTTACCACAAATTGAATAATAATTAATAATTTAAAAATACTTAATTATTCTTTTAATCAATGAAAAAACATGGGATTTAGAGTTATAAAAATCTACTAAAATTCAAATATTAATTATACCCCTTAAAATATGTATTTAGTCAAATAAATTTCTCTAAAGACTGGGATAAGAACTTTTTATTATTGAATAACTATGAATACCAAAAATTGCTGGGAACTTGGTAAATTAGTGTTGTCCCTCCTTTCTTCCATTCTGAATTTTATTTCTCCTTAAACAATTGTCCATAGGATTTTTCTGGAGGAAGAATTAAAAAGCACTTTGTAGAAATAATAGTTTATTCTGGGAAATGATAACATTTAGTAAATATCAAAAAGTTCCAATAGGGAAGTCATTAAAAAAATAATTTTCTCAAGGTTTCAGTATTTTCTTGTTATTTTGGAAAAATGTACAAAAGCATGTTGATTTCTCTGTGCCTTTTCCATTGTGTGCAGGTTTTAAAAACGTGTTTGGTTATAAACATTTCCCAGTTGGCACCCTGGGAGGCGTCTCGCTTGTTTGAGCACATTGAACAATGAGCATTTCATGGAGCTGCATGAATATTGCTGTAATCAATAGGATGTCTGAACATCCTAACATAAACTCAATTTCATAACAAAATAAAACAGCAACAACAATCATAAAACAGAAATAAATAAAACAAAATAAAAGCTATTCAGCAGGTATATATATATATAACTTCCCATGAGTTATTTTTCTCCTCTGTAAAGTGGCAACAGTAGCTATGTCATATGGCTATTCCAGGACTAAGTTTAAAAGTGCTTAACCCAGCACGTGACACCAAGTAAGTATGTAATACATGTTAGCTAAACCACAAAGCTGAGAGATACCACGTCACTGAGTGATATCTTTTATTTAAGGTTAAATTTTGTCCCCTCGTTAGAAATATTCCAGTAGGTATACTGGTTTTCTCTTTTTCTTTCTTTTTAATTTTTTGTTTGTTTGTTTGTTTGTTTTTGAGACGGAGTCTCACTCTCTCTCCCAAGCTGGAGTGCAATGGCGCGATCTCTGCTCACTGCAATCTCCGCCTCCCGGGTTCAAGTGATTCTCCAGTCTCAGCCTCCCGAGTAGCTGGGATTACAAGCGGCCGCCACCATGCTAATTTTTGTATTTTTAGTAGAGGCGGGGTTTTGCCGTGTTGGCCAGGCTTGTCACAAACTCCTGACCTCAAGTGGTCTGCCTGCCACGGCCTCCCAAGGTACGGGGATTACAGGCGTGAGCCACCACACCTGGCCTGGTATGCCGCTTTTCAATTACAAGAGAGAAGCTGATAGGCTGATGATGATGGCAGGGGGAGGAGTTTAGGTTCAAAATGAGAACAGGAAAGAGGTGGTATGGGGAGAGAGAGGTCACGTTTATTTCATAGTTTGTAAACACATAATATAGATATGTGTAATCTGTATATAACATATGTAGATGTCATGATGCACATGTTCAACTTTTTAGAGTTTGCTGCAAGCTCTTTCACACTCTGTTTGTTAAATAGAAAGCATTGAAATGATTTTTTTTTTTTTTTTTTTTTTTGCTAGATAAACAAATTGAGCGTTCTGAGCTGAGGGAGGTAAACCCAGTAACAGAGAGATCTTGAATTTAAGTCCAAGTCTTACGCTGCTAAGTCAAATTTTCTTTTACTCTTTACCATGGCCACTTTCATATAAATGATTGTGTATTAATATGTGTATATTTATATATGTATAAATATAAATTTATTTTATATACTTGTGTGTTTTTATATTTTATATACTTGTGTGTAATTTTATATAATTGTACTTTAGTCTATGATAAATACATAATATTATTTTATAACCATATAAATATATTTGTATAAAAAGATAAATTTTGATGAGTATAAGTTTTATATCAAATAAGCTACAACTTGCCAAATTTAATTCAAGTCACATAAAATGTAACGTAATCAATAAGAGCATATTAACCCATATGATATAGCAGGAAAAACAAACATTTCTTTACATTTGATAGGGTGGATGAGCTTTCTACTATAGTTTTATGGCATCTGCATGCATTTTAGATAATGGAATCACATATTTTCTAAAAGTAAGTTTTAACTCTGGGGTTCTTTCTTGCATGCATTATGCTATATTAGCAAGTGACTTAAAGCATGTTAACATGCAAAATCATGTCTTTGCAGTTAGCTACAAAACCCCCCTTCTATTAAAACTTCTGAAGCAACATTAATTATATCTTTGATTTTGAGTCCTTCATTTGCAATTTCAAAGAACAGAAATCTTATTTGTCTACATATTCTAAAAGGCTGCTCCATACATCATTGGGTGGAGGAAGCAGGTCCTGCACGAGTGAGGTGCAAGCATGCTCTCTTGCTCTAGTTCCTCCAGTCGAGGAATGGCAACAGGGTCAAATGACTATGACATCATGGATATGAATCTCTCCACCAATCATGAGCATAATTCCAAGTCACCCTTTTCACAGACTTACATTTTTGCATGAATTCTCTCTCATTTATTGAACCATGCTAGGAAATGAAACGATTATGGTATTAAAGACAGAGTGATACATTCACAATCCAGGTCATATTTCAATCTAATTTAAACCTCAGCTGAAGGCTTCTTAAGTAGACATGGCCATTAAAAGGAATATCTTTCCCAAATGGAAAGTAAAATAAATCTGATTTTATAGGAGGTACAGATATGGGTTGAAAAATTAATCCCTGGTCCTTTTTTTCCAACCTGGAAAGATTTAGGTGAATGAAAATGTACTAGGCTTTAGACAAACCTTTGTTTCAAGTAAAATGAACATTTTCTCTAAGTCCTGTATTGTTTTACTTATCTATTCTTTTGTACATTGGACTTGAAAAGTCCTTGCCCAGAGCTGGTGTGAGAGCTCACGTGTTCATAGCTGGAGACTTGATGGTATTCTAAAAAAGGCAACGCTGTAGACGGTATTAATCCATAGTGGCGACTTCCTACCCATCACACACGTGATTGTATTTCACATAATTTGAACCTGGTGACCATGCCCACCTGTGTGAAGTGCTAAGCACAGGTCACAGTCAGAGGGGGGTTCTCCTCTGGAAATCCACAGCACCAAGGACCAGGGGAAAATAACACAAGGAATCTGATGCAGGGGTGAGCACAGTGCAGGAATGGGGAATTAAAATAAATAAATAAAAGTCAGGTGTCGCTTAGATGCAGGAATAAAGAGCAAGCAAGACAAAGGTGAAAATGCAATGAGAAATCCTGGGTGGGAGCCAAGTGCTCCTGTGCAGGGGTGTGGCCAGTGAACAGAGAGCATCACCGTAGCATGGGGTGCTCGCCACATGGGGACTGGTTGGACCCATTCCTCTGACTTGAGCTTCACCCACATGAAGACTGTGTCCACAAACTGATCCTAGCTTTACATGGTTCCCAATCCCTGGGAGAGGAGCAGTGCAAGAAGCAGGTAAAACACAGGCTCGGAGCTGGACTGCTTGGGTTACCATCCCAGCTCTGCCACTTACTAGTTTTGGACAAGTGGCTTACATTCTCTGTACCTCTATCTCTTCACCTATAGCATGGGAAACTAAGAATATTTACCTCAAAGTCTTATCAAAATAAACGACTTATTCCAAGTGTAGCATTTATGATGATAAGTGTTTGAAAGGTGTTTCATTTTGGTGGTAGGTTGTTTCCATGAAACTTTTCTCCTGCATTTTTCAGTCACAAGTAATTGCTTTTGAGAGAAGAATGTTTTAGTCTTTGAAGTTTGGGTTCCAAATGTCTTTCTTAGCAGAGACTGTGTCTAAACTAATATTGTCACATAGATACACCAATTAAGGAAAACACTTCACTTAAGTTAATTCAGCCCTGTTTTTCAAGGCAGAGGTATGGCAGGTCCTCAAATAATGTCATTCTGTTCAATGTTGTTTTGTAATAAAGTTGATGAGAATAAACATTGCCTCCGGTCAGGGCAACTCTCTGTGTGGGTTTTCTCCAGGTACTCAGTTTCCTCCCACATCCCAAAGTTGTGCGGTTAGGTTCACTGGTGTGTCTCAGTGGCCTCCTTCTGCATGAATTGAGTGTGTGTATGAGGGCACTCTGTGATGGGATGGCGTCCTGTCCAGGGCTGGTTCCTGCCTTAGACCCTGAGCCGCCCAGACAGGCTCCAGTTCACCCCTGAACTGGAATCACCAGATAAATATCTTACTTGTTTTTATTAGCCTTTCTTAAATGTATACATAACTCTCATTTATTCCAATGTTCAATATTAGCAGTGTTTTAGGGTCTTTATTTTGAAGTTTGATGATGTTTTTGTGACCAGAAATATGCATACGAATTTAAGTCATGTTCATATCAATTAGCCTACAGTAATACTGACTTCCTTTACATTGTGCTTAAAACTTTTAAGCACCTTATACAAGGTGCTTAAAACCCCAGTTTCCAGGAACCTATTGATGACATAAGGAAGGACTCACTGTATATGCAAACTCATATTCACCGTAATGAGCAATTATATAGGCTAAATTTTAACAAGCGGCATCTCATTTTAATAAGTAGAACCATACTTGATGGCGGGGCAGTTTTATTAGAGGAAAATTCAACACAGTATTCATGAGCATTGCTCATGCATCCAGTTCCTGAATTCAGCACATTTTACTTATGTGGCCCTGGACACTTTTAAGCTCTGTGTGTCTCTGTTTTCTCATCATTAAATGAAAGTAATAATAGTACTTGCCTCACAAAGTTGTGAGGATCAAACAAGATGCTACATGAAGGAGTCCCTAGTACAAGTATTAGCTATTTTTATTGTACCAATTTTGAAGTTTCTGATGCTAAGCAAATTTAGCTGACTTGCCCCAAATTATATACATTTATTTGAAGTAGACATGAGAGAACTGATGAGTTTCAGCTGTGAACAATCATATCAATCACCAGAATGATTATCGTATTTTCAAATCTCTTGAGACAGTTTTTATTTAGATTTTTATATTTGGAAGACACTTTGTTGAGATTGAATGATAACTATACTTGCAATATTGCCAGTGTCTGAAAAAAAAATCCACATAAGAGGAAGGCATCAGGTCCAGACCTGCCACAATAATTTCAGAACGTTGGAGACTATATTGGAGACAGAATTTCCAGGACTTAAGATTGTTTATTGAGAACCAAGTCAAGGCTCTGCAAAACAAGCAGTCTCCAGAACTGGAGGCAGCATGGTGGGACAGGAAAAGAAATAGACGTGAATTCAACTTGAGCATTTTCTATGCTTGAATTGGGCACCTTACACAGCATCCCTTTATCTTCCTGTCCACCAACAATAGGCGACAGTACCCTCTACTCATCTTTATAGCCTTGTTTTGAAGAATAAAGTCATGATGAAAGCACTGTGTAGACCCTAGAGTAACACACACTGTAAAGAATGGAGAACCCAGGCGTGGAACTGAACCATAAGCTATGTCGAAGCATGGAGCACAGGGAAGGAACAGAATCTGAGAGTATCTCCACGCAGATCCAGGGTCCATTTCTGACCCCATGCACCTGAGTTAAGGCAGTGGTAAGACACTTACTATGTCATATTCAGGATTCTGGGGGAGAGTTAGCAAGAAGCCAGGGGAGACAAGAAAGACAAACAGCCCAACTGAGGAGGCCCTGTCTGGCCCCTTCATGAGGAGGACAATGGGGTGGCCTTTTGGCAGGGTCTTCAGGGGAAGTCACCAGACCTTAGTCAACAGGCAGTAGGGGAGTGATTGGAGGCTTGGAGGTTTGAAAGTTCATATAAAAATAGTGCTTGGAATAGCCAATCTGTAATAATATAACCATTCATGCCAGTCACAAAAACACTCAGTAAATGATAATTATTAGTACCATTAATACAAAACTATAATGTGGTAAAGCTCCCAGTGGAATGAACAGTGTGCTTTAACACAGAAAGGAGAGTGATAATAATAGGTTTGTGGAAGGGGAACTGGGAAAACTTTATAAGAAGGATGACTTTTCATCAGAACCTTAAAATACATTTAGGGCTTCCTATATTACATATATATATATACACACACACACACACACACACACACACACATATATATATATACACACACATATATATATATGGATTAAGAGGTTAAGTGTGCTTTAGACCAAAAAAGCCCATAAAGAAGAAAACATGCTTTGGCTTAAGATGTATTGTGTCCAAGGAGACAGCAATGTGTCTGTATTAGTCTGTTCTCAGATTGCTATAAGGAACTACCCGAGACTGGGTAATTTATAACAAAAGGAGATTTAATTGACTCCAGTTTCACAGGCTGTATAGAAAGCATGGCTGGAAGGCTTCAGGAAACTTACAATCATGGCGGAAGGCCACAACTGGAAAGGGAAGCAAGCACATCTTTACATGGCAACAGGAGAGAGAGAAAGAATGAGGGAGAGAGAGGTAGCACGAAGGCATGAAGGGGGAAGTACTACACACTTTTAAACAACCAGATCTCATGAGAACTCTATCATGAGGCAGCACTAGGGGGATGGTGTTAAACCATTAGAAACCACCCCCATGATCCAATCACCTCCCACCAGACCCCACCTCCAACACTGGGGGATTAAAATTCAACGTGAGATTTAGGTGGTGACACAGAGCCAAACCACATCAGTGTCCAAGATAAACTTTCCATTGAACTCCACATGAATGAATATTTGGCTGGAGGAAGAATTGGCAATAAATAGCATTAATTAATTAACTAATTTTTGTCAGCTTTATTGAGGTATGATTGACAAATAAAAATTTTATATACTTAAGATGTAAAACGTGTTTTGATATAAGTATACCTTGTGCAATGATTTTCAGAGTCAAACTAATTAATATATTTGTCACCTCAGAGTTACCTTTATTTGGTAAGAAAAAGATCTGAAAAATTTGAGTATACAATACTTTAACTATGGTTACATGTCAATAGCATTTATTTAACAAGTAAAAATGCTTGCAGGTCATCTCCTAAGTGCCAACCACTGTTTCATACTTTAGAGTTACATAAGCAACAAACCATGAACAGAACTGAGGTGATACTAGAAGGTGGACTGATATCATCCTTCAACAAAAGGATGCTGCCAAGTCTTCCATTGCGGAAAGCAGATCCTAAACGCCAGTCATATCTCCTAGAATAAGATTAAAGAGCCTAGTAGACCTGGTTATCTAAACCACCAAATGGGCTGACTCTGATTGGACTCTGAGGCTACACCAAGGAGCAATCCATCCCCAGATTAATCTCCAGAAGGCTACTCAAAAGCTACAAAAAAGATCCAGTCAGTGTTCAGCTACAGATACAGATTAAATGACACCAAAGCTTATCCCTGCATGAGTTACCTTGTAAAAATACCAACATTTAACTTTACCAGTATTGAAAAACTCTATGGGTGGTTAGTGATAGATTTGAGAAAATCTAAAGCAGAGTCCTGTGTGAAAACAGTGAAGAGTTTTCTGTAAAGAGATTTTTTTTTTTAAGCCAATGTACAAACATCATCAGCATTTAAATTAGACTTCGAGGACTAAAGGAGAGGTCTGAATTAATGTGGTTATTCTTGGCGCTCAATGCCTGTGCCCAGCATCTCGGGGGCTACCAGTTTTGAAGACTACATTCCAGATCTAATGTCTTGGTGTTTGCATTTAGTGATTTTGAACCTCTGTGTAGTGGAGGCACTGAAAGAGAGAACAAAAGAATGAAAAATAAAAATGTAAATGAGCTTATTTAACACACAGCCAAAATTCTTTGATGTTAGGTAATTGCTCAATATACCAAGATAAGCAAGAAATTATCAATTCATCATTTTGAAGTGTCTACTAGTCTGTGTATATTGACTATTTTTGAAATTATGTACATCTACAAAATACATCTATATCTATAAACTGGTTTATAAGCATGATTAACTTTTCTCATATATATTGTAACAAATGTTACTAGGATTTAAAAAACAGCATAATCTAGAAATGATGACACTGACTGAGGCTCTGTCATGTAGCTCACCTGTAATTACCTGTGATGGAAAAGGGCCCAGGGCCTGGCTGTATACAATCAAGAGCCACTGATGATGAATTGATGCGTTTCTATTTGTGTGTGTCTGTGCCTGATGGCTGACTCTAACTGACATGAAAGAAAGACCCTTCCTCTCTTAGGTTAAAGCATTCATGTTTTGAAGAGAAAGGCCAGCTTTTAGGCCTTTGCATCTTGGAGAAAGAGATTATAAAAATGAGACTCCCTCCCTGTATGCTGCAGTTCAAAAAGACCCGGCATTGAATAACTTAATCTTTTGCAGATCTCCTTTTATAGCCTGACCTGACAGGTGCCCAGAATGCCTTGATACTACAAAGCAAATTAAAATTAAACACACAGGGAGTAAAAAGCTTTTGCTGTCAAAGCAGATACCAGGAGAAAGATGTCTGTTTTACAGCACTGTGCTAGGCCGCCATAGACCAGACCAACCTGGGCCCTGCAGGCTGGAAGACACTGAGAGGAACCCAGAAGCCAGCACGAGCAGAATTTGGATTGAGGTATATTCCAATTTCGGGGAAATAAGACAATGATATAAGCCGGGCATGGATGGAACTGGTACCTAAATATTTTTGCTAGAGGGGGCCCTGTGTTCTGGGCAGGGTCCAGATTGGGTGACCCACACACCTGGGACAGTCAAGAGACGTCACACAAGCGCTGAGCTCTAGTCTGAATGTTCTGGGATGCAGATCTACATCCTAGGGCTAGGAAGGCCCATCTGAATCACCTTGGAGACTTTTTAAAATAGAAGCTTCTTCTTCCTCCTTCTTAAACTCCTTCATCCAGGAATCATAAACTATTATATTTCCTTCCCCCAGGAATCATAAACTAGTAAACCTGAGAGTCTGTCCATATTTTTTACATATTCCCACATAACAATCATTATTAATGATTCCTCACTCTTGTCTCACCCCAGTTCAGTCATTCTCAATCCTGGCTGCACACTGGAATTGCCAGGTAAACTTGGACACTTTACTGATGTCTAGTTCTCCCTGCTGAGGGTTGGTTTTTATTGGTTTGAAGCAGAGCCCAGGTGTTAGTAAAATCTCCCTTATGAATATTGCGTGCAATCCATATTGAAAACTGATGCATGAGTATCTTCAATAATGTGCAGACCAAAGGGAAGATTGCCCTCCTTTTCTAAAGGCCCCAGTGACACAGAATCTTCTTCGTCATTATGAAGTCAATTTCAATTTGGAGGGTCCAGTAGCAGAAAAAAAATTTTTTTGAAACAAACCAGAATCTGCTTCATGGCACCTAATTGTCATGGTCCCGATTCTTCACATGGATTAAATCGGCCCATGGGCCGTTAGAACATATCTCCGCTTTAGCTGATGTCTCCTTGGTAGGCTGGCCGCACTTTCTTCATAGTTCTAGGGCAGTAAGCAAGGCTGGCAGGAGATCTTATTCAATCAATACACACTTATTTGGAGCCTATTAGCTCTCAGGTGTACCAGGCTTTAGGAAAACAGGCCAGACATGCCAGCACAGTCTCACCAGTCTAGGGTTGAAAACACATCCAAGTGGAGGCAGCTCGTAAGTGCAGACATCCGTAGTCAGCCTGGGCTCCAGTACCAGCTATGCCTTAATCAGTCTGTCACTCCAGGCGAGCTATTTCCCTGAGCTTCAGCTCCTCCAGCTATAAAGTGGTGGTACTAACACAAATATTTGTGGGGTATTATTATGTATCAGATAATAGAAATTCAAAAAAGGTATAATATGATATCCAATTTAGGACAAAATATGCATGTAACCCACAATGCACAATGATATGTATCATAGGAAGTGATTCTAGAAGAATCGAGAAAGAGAAAGACAGCATGATTTTCATGGGCTTCACCCCTGGGCACATCACATCAAGAAAACTGGTAATCAGGTTGGCCAATGCTGAGAATGTAATACCCATTGACTCCTTGCGTAGCACTAACTCAGTGAGCTAGACGAGATAATGTGCATGCACTTTGTGGGTCTACTATAGATATTAGCTGTCATCCTGTTGCCTTAATTGTCCTCAATCCAAAATGGACAAGACTGACTCCAGACCTGAGAACAAAGGTAAATCCTTCAGAGTGCCTAAAATCCTTCCAGCTGGAAGGACCAAACTACAAGACTGTACCCTGGGATACAGATACCTACAAGTCACTGCAGGAACTGGAGAAACATGACACCTGCTTTTGGAGGACGCTCCCTGTGTCTTCCCATTTTAATCTTCTAAGCAATAGGGTTCAGTCCTATTGCTTCCTCCCCAAACAGTTAGTGGCTTTTGACCACTGTAAAATAAATCCAGATAGGTACACAGGTGGGATTGATACATTTAACAATAAATATATTTGTAAATATCTATGTTTTCAGTCTTTTCAAAACATTACACAATTTTCTACTTCCTTGCACTAGGTAATCAATCTTCCTTATTGGAAATACTTTCCTCTAACTGTTGCTGATCGCTCCTATCTTTCCATTACAATGATGCTTCTGAACCTGGGCTATACATTAGAATCGATTGGAGCACATTAAAAAATACTGACACCTGTGGTGAGGTATGGTCGGTGGGGTTTTTGAAAGCTGCTCATTAATTCTATTTTACATTCATATTGAGCCCCACTGCCTCACAGCTGGGATAAACCAACCTTCAGCTCTAAGCTGCAGCCTTCTCTAATCACAGCAACTGTAGTGATGGCCCCTACATCTGAATTCCAGCAGTAATTGCTTCTCAGGAACACCAATTACAGACAGCTTCACAATATAGTTATTTACAGAATGATCACTAGGTCAAATTAGGTGTGTATTCTAGATTAGATCACTTCTACCATAGCATGTAGAAATCTTAGAAAGTGAATCCCTGAGCCTTCATTTCCTCATTTATATTAAGAGCACTGTATTAGATGATTTCTAAGTGGCCTCACAGATTAAGTACATATTTTGAAAGTCAGCATCTTGTCTTCTAAACTAATTTGCAGTTCCCTGGAGGGCAGGGACCACATCCCATGCTGCTTTTGTTCCTCACAAGCAGTGGAGTGCTTCAGTTAAACTACAGATCTTATTTTTCCTGTGCCCGCTCCATCACAAGTTTCTAGAGGAAGCTCATTCTCGCCATTTATTTGGCTGTTACTAAAAAAATTACTCACCATTCTTAGCTCCCACATTATCTTTGGAACTATGTGTTATAGGCATCATTTGTTAGGCACTACAATAATCACTTTACATCCATGACACATGTTCAAATATAATTATAATTCTGAGTGGTAGATATTATGTCATCCAATGTTTATTTGTGGGTTGGTTTCCAAATTAGTCCTGTTTGCATATGTTATTTTTTCAATAAAAAGAGAGTTATGATACCTTGATGGTGTAGAGCTCCACTGACCAGATAAATTTCTGAAAACTATAAAAAAAAATTAAAGGTCCCTGGAAATGGTACTAAGTACAATTAGCACATAAAGAAACATCTATTCAAGAACATTTACAAATATCAGCAAGGAAGAACAAAGTCTGTCTTATTTTGAATGAAGATGGCTACAGCTCAGTGAGGTGGACTCTCTACTCCAGACTTCCAGTGCTGCCAAGCACTGGGGTCCCTTTCCCTGGCTCTCGGCTGGAGGCTGTCTTCCCAGAACATCAGTATTTCTCATCTCACCTCCAGCTAGTTTGTGTTGGGGATGAGACTTGGGTGACTGCAATGCCCACTCAAAGCATGGCAGGCTGATGACACCAGCTTCCTCATAACCCTGACCCAACTAATGAGGTGGTGATCCTAGGCCTGCAGTCATAAACTGAGAGGACCTCAGCTGGCTGCTTCACTAGCCCACCCAGCACCACCTACTAGAGTGTGGTGTCACTCAAAGAGAGACTTGTCATTGTCCCCACCCAGGCTCCAGAGTCCTGGTTAAGAGATATGCCTGGGGGAGAAACAGATTTAAAACAGCTCCTGATCCCTTCCCAAAGGCATTGACTTCATTGGCAATAAAATATGGAGAAAGTCAAGACCAAGGGCTTTCTCAAGAAGAGTGGAGTTGTGGTGAAAAATCTGAAAGGAATTTATGAGTCACATAATGGTACAGGTTAGACCATAATCCAGCTAGCTTTCAGAAGACAGATGTACACTTGACCCTTGAACAACATGGAAGTTAGAAGCCCTGACCCCCTATGCAGTTAAAAACCTGTGTATAATGTTTGGCTGCCCCCAAAACTAACTATTAATAGCTTACTGTTGACAGGAAGTCTTACTGATAACATAAACAGTTGACTAACATAGATTTTGTAGCTTATAGGTATTACACATTGTATTCTTACAATGGAGTAAGCTAGAGAAAGGAAAATATTATTAAGTAAATCATAAGAAGGAGAAAATATTTTTACTACTCATTAAGTGGAAGTGGATCATCATAAAGGTCTTCACCTTTATCGCCTTCACACTGAGTAGGCTGAGAGGAGGAGGAAAAGGAGGTGTTACACGTAGTTAGACAAGTATGAGCAGGGCAGGAGAGGGCTCTTTCCCCACCCACTAGAAATACCCGGTGATGGTTTGGTACTTATCACATTGCCTCTTTAAAAGTGATAAATTGGCAGCCGGTGCCAGGGAGAGGCCATTTTCGGAAAATCCACAAGTGCTGCACTAAAATGTTAATTGAATGCAGGCACCAGGGAGACACAGCTTCCTGAGCGGGCGCATTAAGAGACAAAACGGCAGAGTATAACCTTCTGAAGACACTCCCCTGGAAAAGGGAAGAAAGCCTCAGAGAGGCATGTGCACAACTTCGTAAACATACTGCACGTGCTCACCTCCCCAGGGTAAGGGGGGCCCTTACTGTGCATGTGGGCAGCCCACCCTAAGGGAAAAACCATGGGAAAGGGCCCAGTGTTTAAAGTCCTAGGATGAAGGTTAAACACTGCACTTGACCTCGGTGCCCCCTTGAGTCTCTTCCAAGCGTACTTTCCTTATTTTCTTTCCCATTTTAAAGCCTTTTAAAATAAACTTCCACTCCTGCTCTGAAACCTGCCTTGGTCTCTTTTGTTGCCTTATGCCCCTCAGTCAAATTTTTTCTTCTGAGGCGGCAAGAATTGAGGCTGCTGCAGACCCACGAGGATTCGCCATCAGTAACTCAGATACCTTCCATCAGTAACAGAGGCATTGGTTTTACTGGCTCATGGGTGGCAGAGGCAGAAGAAAAACCACATGTAAGTAGATGCTCATAGCTCATACCCGTGTTGTTCAAAGATCAACTGTAGATTAGAACAGCTGGGTAGAGTCCTCTTAGTGTCAGAACAAATATCAAAAACTGACTTCACAGCCTGGCCAACATGGTGAAACCTCGTCTCTACTAACAATATAAAAAAAAAAAATTAGCTGGATGTGGTGGTGTGTGCTGGTAATCCCAGCTAATCAGGAGGCTGAGGCAGAAAAATTCCTTGAGCCCAGGAGGCAGAGGTTGCAGTGAGCCAACATTGTGCCACCGCACTCCAGTCTAGGTGACAGAGTGAGACCCTGTCTCAAAAAAACAAAAAACTGGCCTCAGAAACAGATTCATCCAAGAAGTCACAATCTCTAAAGAAGAGACACAAATGGTCAATTAGCACAAGAAAATATGCTTGGCATCATTAATCATCATAGAAACGTAAGTCAAAACCATAATGAAATACAACTACACTCCCACTAGGATGGCTAGAATCAAAAAGTCAGATAAATGTTGGCAAGAATGTGGAGAAATTGGAACACTTGTGCATTGCTGGTAGAAATGTAAAATGGGGCAAAATCCTTTGGAAAACAGTCTGTCAGTTCCCATAGTAATTAATGGTTTCCATCTGATTCAGCAATTCCACTCCTAGGTATGTGCCCAACTGAAATGAAAGGATATGTCCACAAAAATGCCTGCACATGAATGTTTATGGCAGTATCATTCATAATATCCAAAAGGTAAAAATAACTCAGATGTCCATCAACAGGTGAGTGGATAAACAAAATATGAAATGACCATACAATGGAATATGACTTGGCTATAAAAAATATAGAGTACTGATACATGTTAGCATATGGATGAACCTTAAAAACGTTATACTAAATGAAAGAAGCTTGACACAAAAGACCACATGTTATATGATTCCATTTATTTGAAATGTCCAGAATAAAGATATCCATAGAGGCAGAAAGTGGATTAGTAGTTATTCAGGACTGAGGTTGGGCAGAAAGGGAATAATGATATTCCAGAATTGATGGTGGTGCTATTTGCACGTATCTGTGAATACCCTAAAATCCACTGAATTGTACAGTTTACATTGGTAAATTTTATCTTATGGGAATTGTATCTCCATAAAGCTATTTTTTTTAAAAAAAAGGAAAAACAGGTTAGAATTAAGGATATCAAAACAAAAAGGAACAGTTGCCAAGATGGTGTTAGAGGAAAAAAATTATTTGGGGTACTTCCCATTGAGGATAAAGAAAGAGCAAGCAGTATTGTCAAGGAGAGCCTTCAGAGCATAATACAGACCTGACTTGGACAAATAGAGGGTAAAGGCAGAGGATGCTTGGGTAGAAGGAGCCTCAGAGTGCAGTGAAGCTCTGAGCATTTCTAACCCAGCCCCAAAAGGAGCTCCGGCATAAAGCGTGGCTTTTAATGAGTCCTGCATGGGCAGATGTTTTCTTGTACTGCTGTCTTGCCTAGTCACCGGCTGGGAGCTGCCGGGAGAAGCATGACCTCAGTTCAAACAGTGCCGTGGATCCCAAAGGTGCAATTGCCGAAGGCCATCAGCTACTTGCACTTCTTATAGCTGATCAACAAGTTCTTGAAGGGAAATTGGAGCCTCATAAGTCCATGTCTGCCACAAGGGGCCTTAAAGTAAATTATGTTTTAGATCTTGAAATCATCATTACAGAGGAAATATCAGTGTTAGCAGTGGTGAATCTGTACAGGTCTCAGCGACTCAATTCCTGCTGCCTCATGGGAAAGAATTCATCTGAGTGGCATAAGCCAGAGCGAGAGACTGAGGCAAGTTTTAGGGTTGGAGTGAAAGTTTATTAAAAAGTTTTAGAGCAGGAACAAAAGGAAATAAAGTACACTTGGAACAGGTCCAAGCAGGCAACTTAAGAGATTCAAGTGCACCATTTAGTCCTTTGACTTGGGGTTTTATAAGTTGACATACTTTCAGGGTTTTTTGCATCTCTCCTTTGATTTTTCACTGGAGTGGGCTGCCCACAGTGAGCAGTGGCCTGCAAGCACTTAGGAGGGGCCACAAATGCAGTCTGTTTACTGGAGCTGTGCACATGGTCATTTGAGGCATTTCTTACTAGTCAAGTGTTCCTAGAGGAGGGTCATTATACCAGTTAAACTCCGCCATTTTGCCTCTTAGTGCGCATGCTCAAGCCTACTCACCCAACTCCTTGAATCTTACTGAGAAGCGGCTCATCACCAGCTTCAGGTGTTTTCTATATATTGGAAGACTACCTTTCCCTAGCTCCAGATGTGAGCAATTACTATTTTAGAGAAACAGTTTAACAACCTCATGACCATCACCTGATGGTTGCCTTATATTCCTCGGAGGGGGCCCCCTCCTGCCTTGCTCATGTCTGCCTAGCTACCCACTCTAACATCAGGACTCCGATGAAAATGACAGTAAGTCCAGTGTCGTGAGTATACTGAACTTATTTTCTAAATCCTAAATCCCAAATCAGAATAAATAGTTTGATCAATTTTTAAATTATGAAATTGTATAATTTCCGATGCATAGATTAGAAATATTTCCTCTTTGTAAAGCATTTATAGTGCCATAAAGATTACTGACCTATTGAACAGGCACAGCCTCTACAACATTCTTACTAGACTTTTAAAATTATTATTATTTTGAAACAGGGTCTCGCTCTGTCACCCAGGCTTTAGTGCAATGGTGTGACCTCAGTTCACTGCAACATCCACCTCCTGGGTTCAAGCGATTTGTGCCTCATCTCCCGAGTAGCTGGGACTACAGGTGCACACCACCATGCTGGGCCAATTTTTGTATTTTTAGTAGAGAGGGGTTTTCACCATGTTGGCCAGGCTGGTCTCAAATTTCTGGCCTCAAGTGATCCACTTGCCTTGACCTCTCAAAGTGCTGGCATTACAGGCATAAGCCACCATGCCCAGCCCTTTCTAGGCTTCTTAATGTAAAATAATTAAAAGAGACATTAATGTTTGACAAGTCTGTTACGAATGCATGGCATATGAAATAGTAAAAATCCCTTAGGCATTAGGAGTCCTCAAAATCTGATGTTCTTTATTAAGGGAGTTGATTCTAGAGGTCTTTCACTTCCAGATTATCCACTGGTCATGATGATATTTGCAATAATAATTAAGGCTTATCAATTCTAATTTTTTATAAACTGCTTGTGATGGTGATTAAGCTCCTATCTCCCAGCTCCAAACCCAATCTTTGCTCCTTTTCTTTGTGATGCTGGATTTAGGCTCTGCAGATAATTTTTCTGCTGTGACAGCTGGCTCTAAATTCAGTTTTGGCAAAAGGCTTACAAGAGCAAGGCAGGCAGAAGTAGGTAAGGACTTGTTTTTTTCTGCTTTTTCCCTGTCTTTTTCCTGGTCCTACAAACAACGTCCAAAAATCACCCCATGCTTCTGTCTGCAGCAGCAGGTAAAGACATTTAGCAGCTCTTCAGTACTCAGAGAACCAGAGAGTAATCCTGTTTTCTCATAGAGCCCAGCAACAGCCTTTCCTTGGGCGTCTTATGTTTCAGCTCCATGCACCCCCCTTGAGGCTTCTAAGTTCCAATAGTACACATCTGTCTTTCTAGTTCTGCCAGTCCTAAAGAGTAGGGCAAGCTACTTCCTGTAGTTGCTACCTTCATGTCTCAGTGTTGTTGTTTTGTTTTGTTTTTGTTTTTTTCAGCTCCCTACTAAATTTTATATAAAATCCTGCTTAGGTTCTCTCTTAAAACTATGTTGTCTCTCATATGTTATATACTTTCGACTAAAATATTTGCTATATTTTCAGTTATATCAGTTATATCTTCAGTTTCCTAATTGAACCTAATAGAGTGCTTTATGCACAAGATCTAATTTAATTTTTCCAATAACCTATCTAAATAGATATTATCCCTACTTTACAGATGAAGCAACACACCCTCAGAAATTGTTACTTGCTCAGAAACTCCTTTCTTGTTAATGAGAGACCTAGATCCAAGTGCGTCTGAGGAATTCCAAAGATCTTGCCCTTAATCACCATCATAGGGTGTTTTCTGATGTGAGCCCATGGGATTCCTGACTTCCTTTGGACACAGTTGTTTGCTTCTCTTCCAGAACTTTCTGGAATTAGTTTTCACTCTGTCATTCTGCCATGAACATAACTGTATGTTTGGCTCCATAAAACATTCTAAAATATTTCACTCACATTTTTATAGTCTTAGTATATAGACTGCAAGAAAACAAAAAGTATCCTAAATCATAGATAAGACATTTCTTAAATTCAGTAATATTGACATCTTAACTTCTCCTTAACCTTTATTTTTTTCAAGGAGTTGAGGCATTTCCATTTCATGACTGTTGGAAAGCCCATGCAGGGATGCACAGCTTTCTTCCTTGACAGCTGTGTCCTCAAAGTGTACCAACTATGTCCTCTTCAGTGACAGTAGCCATGGCTAAAATGCCAATGTGCTGCAGTCATCACAACCCTCAATTTTAAAACATTTTCATCATCTCAAAAAGCAACTCTGTAGTTTTTAGCTTTTGCTCCTCTATCCTCCTGTCTCTCACCTCATCCCCAGCTCTAAGCCATCACTAATCTGATTTCTGTCTCTATAGTTTGGCCTGTTCAGGCCATTTGATATAGATGAAATCATACAATATTTTGTGCTTCATGACAGGTTTCTCTCAGCATAATGTTTTCAAAGTTCATCCCTGTTGTGGCATATGTCAGTACTTAATTCCTTTTTATGGCTACATAATATTTCATTGTATGGGTATAACATATCTTCCTATACATTTGTTATTAGGTTGGTGCAAAAGTAATTGCAGTTTGCCATTGAAAGTAATGGCAAAATCCATGATTACTTTTGCACCAATCTAATAGTTGGTGGACATTTGGGTTGTTTCCATTTCTAGGCTATTGTGATTTGTGTATAAGCTCTTATGTGGACGTGTTTTCATTTTACTTGGGCATGAACCTCACGGTGGAACTGCTGGGTTATATGGAAATTCTCTGCTTCATCATTTGAGGGTGTGTCCGATTGTTTTCCAGAGTGGCTGCACCATTTCACATTCCCACCAGCCTTGTGCTAGTGTTACGATTTTTCCTCCTTTGCCAATACTTGTTGTTAGGTGACTTTTTGATTTTAGCCATCCTACAAGATGTAATGTAGTATTTTATTGTGATTTTGACTTGCATTTCCCTGATGACTGATGATGTCAAGCACATTGTCATGTGTTTGTTGTCCATTTGTATGTTTTACATGCTGAAGTGTCTGTTCAGGTCCTTTGCTCATGTTTTTTTTTTTTTTTTAAAAAATTAGGTTCTTTTTCTTTATTATTGAATTGTAAGAGTTCTTTATATATTCTGGAAATGAGTCTCTTGCAGATAGATGCTTTAAAAATGTTTTCTACCATTCTTCAGGTTGATGTTTTACTGTCTTAATGCTGCTTTGAAAGCCATCACTTTGAAAAAAAATATTTGATAAAATGCAACTTATATATTTATTTTGATGCTGTGCTTTTTGGTGTCATATGTAGGACTCCTTTGGTAAAATTAAGGTCGTAAAGATTTATTTAACTCTGTTTTATCATAAGAATTTTACAAATTTTGCTTTTACATTTGGGTCTGATCCATTTTCGGTCAATTTTTGTATGTGGTGTGAAGTAAATGTCCAGCTTCATCCACTTGCATGTTGCTATACAGTTGTTCCAGCACCATTTTTTGAAAAGGCTATTCTTTCCTCATTGAATAATTTTGTACTCTTATGGATTATCATTTGACCATAAATACATAGATTTTCTTCTGGGGTGCTTTCAGTTTTATTCCATTGTTCTATGTGATTGACTTTTTGTCAGTTTCACCCTAACTTAGTTACTACAGATTTGAAGTAGTTTGAAATCGTGAAATATAACTACTTCTATTTGGTTTTCCTTTGTAAAGATTGTTTTGGCTAATTTCCCTGAAATCCCATATGAGCTTTAGAATCAGCTTGTCAATTTTTATAAAGAAGTCAGCTGAGATACTGATGAGAATTTTATTGAATCTGTAGCTCAGTTTGAGGAATAATACCATCTTAACAATGTTAAGTCTTGTGATCAATGAACATAGGAAGCTTTTCTAATTATATACATAGTCCTCAATTTCTTTCAATTACATTTTATAGTTTTTAGAATATGTTTTGCCCTTTTTCCGTTATAATCCCTTTAAGTATTTCATTATTTTTGAAGCTATTGTCAATGAAATTGTTATATTAACTTAATCCCCACAGTGCTTATTGAAATTGTACAAAAACACAATTAACTTTCATTTTGATCCTGTATCCTTCAACCTTGGTGAATTCATTTATTAATTTCTTTGTGTGTGAATTCTTTCAGATTTTTTATGTGCAGAATTATGCCATCTACAAATACAAATAGTTTTACTCCTCTCTCTTCCTTGTGGATGTCTTATTTCTTGATCTTGACTAATTACCTTGACTAGAATATACAGTTTACTGCTGAATGGAAGTGTCAACAGTGGATATACTTTTATTATTCCAGATCTTAGGAAGAAATTATCCAGCCTTTAACCATTGAGTGTAATGTTACTTTCTTCATAGATACCCTTTATGTTTATCAATTGAAAACATTCTCTTCCGTGATGGTTAATATTAGGTGTCAACTTGAATGGAGTAAGGGATCCCTAGATAGCTGGTAGAGCATTATTTCTGAAATGGCATTTGTGGAAAAGATTAACATTGGAATCAGTGGACTGAGTGAGAAAAATCCGCGCTCACTTAATGTGAGTGCTCACCATCCAATCAGCTGAGGCCCAGATAAAACAAAAGGTCAGAGGAAAGCAAATTCTCTCTCTCTCTCTCTCTCTCTTAGAACTAGGCTTTTCTCCTGCCATTGGTCATTTAAACTTCAGGTCCTCTGGCCTTTGGACTCCACAGCTTGCATCAGCAGCCCTTGGGTTCTCATGTCTTTGGATTGAGAATTACACCATCAGTTTCCCTGGTTCTGAGTCCTTTGGACTTGGATTGAGCCACAATACTGGTTTCCCTGGTCCTCTAGCTTGCAGATGACCTGTCATGGGACTTCTCTGTCTCTATAATCATGAGAAATAATCTCCCTAATAAACATATTCTCATATAACTATATCTAAGGCAATACATTCAATTGGTTCTGTCTGTCTGGAGAACCCTAATATACTTTCTTTCCTAGTTTGTTGATTTTGTTTTTGTTTTTGTTTTTGACCCAGTAATCCCATTCCTAGGTATATGCTGAAAGGAGTATATACATTTTTCTACTGAAAAAACAAATGCATGTGTATGTTCAACACAGCACGATTCACAATAGCAAAGACGTGGAGTCAACCTAAGTGTCCATCAGTGGTGGATTGGATAAAGAAAATGTGGTACATATACACCATGGGATACTACACAGACCATAAAAAAGAATGAAATAAATAATGTATTTTGCAGCAACATGAATGCAGCTGTAGGCCATTACCCTAAGCAAATTAACACAAAAACCAAAAGCCAAATACCACATGTTCTCATTTACAAGTGGGAGCTAAACATTAGATATATGTGAACATAAAGATGAGAACAACAGACATGGGGGATTAGTAGAAGGAGAAGGGGGAGGAGGGAAAAGTTTGAAAAACTACCTATTGACCACCATGCTCATTACTTGGGCAACAGGATCAATCATACCCCAAATCTCATTATGCTGCAATATGCCCATGTAACAAACGTGCTTATGTATGCCCTTAATCTAAAATAAAAGCCGAAATAAAAACAAAAAAATATTCTATTGAAATAGGATAGTGTATTAATTGAAATTCAGATGTTAGCCAGGTGCAATGGCACATACCTGCAATCCCAAATAATTGAGAATCCGAGGCAGGAGGATCTCTTGAACCTGGGAGTTCAAGACCAGCCTGAGAAATATAGCAAGACCTCCACTTAAAAAAAAAGTTCAATTCAAATATTGAGCCAACTTAGCATTCCTGGGATAAATTCCACTTAGTCATGGTATATAATTCTTTATATAGGTTGTAGGGTTGAGTTTGGTAGTATCTTGTCCAGGATTTTTGGATCTGTACTTGTGAGAGATATCTATAGTCTTTTTTCTTGTGATATGTTTGTCTGGTTTGGGTATCATAGTAATATTGTTCTCATAAAATGAATCGGAAAATATTATCTCCTTTTCTTTTGTTTTTTGTTTATTTTTTTAAATGTCTTTGAAGAACTGGTATTACTATTTTTTTTAATGTTTAACATAGTTAAGCAGTGCAACCATCTGAGTGTGGGCTTTCTTTTGTGAATAGCGTTTTGTGTTATTTTGTATTGATTACTTATCCAATAATTCACCTACTACAAGTGTATTCAGATTATTTGTTTCTTCTTGAGTTAGTTTGGTTAGTTTATGTCTATCTAACAATGTGTTTAGGTCATCTATGTTACCTAATTTATAATTAGTGCACAATTGCTCTTATTAATTGGTAATTCTTTTTATTTCTGTAGCACCAATAGTAACCTGAGTTCGTTCATTACTTATTCTACTAATATGAGATTTCTCTTTCTTTTTACTGTTTTTTCACTTGGCCATTATAGCTAAATGTTTCTCAACACTGTTGATCTTTTCGATGACTCAGCATTTTACTTCTTGGATTTTCTCTACTGTTTTTGTATTTTATAATCAATTACTTTCAGCTGCATTCTTTATTTCCTTTTTTTCTACTTATTTTAGTTTTAGTTTTCTCTCCTTTGTCCAGTGTTATTGATGTCAGAACTTTTATCTTTCTTTCTTTTTTTCCAATAATTTCAACTTCTATTTTGTATTCTGGGGTACATGTGCAGATTTGTTTTATGGGTATATTGCCTGATGCTGAGGTTTGGGTTACAAATGATTCCATCACCCAGGTACTAGGCTTAGTACACAATAGTTACTTTTTCAATACTTGGCCCCCTCCCCCCATACCCCCTTTAGTAGTCCCCAATGTCTATTGTTGCCATCTTTGTGTCCATATGTATCCAATGTTTAGCTGCCACTTATAAGTTAGAACATGTAGTATTTGGTTTTCTGTTTCTGTATTCATTTGCTAAAGATAATGGCCTCCAGCTTCTGTTCCTGCAAACGGCATGGCCTTGTTCTTTTTATGCCTGCATAATATTCCATGGTTAATATGTAACACATTTTATTTATCCAGTCTACCACTGATGGACATTTAGGTTGATTCCATTTCCTTGTTATTGTGAATAGTGCTGCAGTGCACATACGTGTCATGTGTCTTTATAATAGAATTATTTCTATTCCTTTGGGTATATACCCTGCAGTGGGGTTGCCGGGTCAAATGGTAGTTCTGCTTTTATCTCTTTAAGGAATTGCTACACTGTCTTCCACAATGCTTGAAGTAATTTACATTCCTTCAATGGTATATAAGTGTTCCCTTTTCTCCACAACTTTGCCAGCATCTGTTTTTTTTTTTTACTTTTTAATAATAGCCATTCTGACTGGTATGAGATGGTATCTCTTTGTGGTTTTGATTTTCATTTCTGTAATGATCAGTGATGCTGAGGTTTTTTTTGATATGCTTCTTGCCACATGTATGTCTTCTTTTGAGAAGTGTCTGTTCATATCTTTTGCACACATTTTAATGTTTATTTTTCCTTATAAATTTGTTTAAGTTCTTTGTAGATGCAGGTTATTAGACCTTTGCCAGATGCATGGTTTGCAAAAATTTTCTCTCATTCTGTATGTTGTCTATTTACCCTGCCAATGGTTTATTTTCCTGTGTAGATGCTTTTTACTTTAATTAGATCACATGTGTCAATTTTTGCTTTTGTTGGAACTGCTCTAGTGTCTTTATCATGAAATCTTTGCCTGTTCTTACATTCAGGATGGTATTGCTTAGGCTGTCTTCTAGAGTTTTGATAGTTTTGGGTTTTATATTTAAATCTTTAATTCATCTTAAGTTGCTTTTAGTATATGGTGTAAGGAAGGGGTCCTTACACCATATACTAGCCAATTATCTCAACACTATTGAATAGGGAGCCCTTTTCCCATTGCTTGTTTCTGTTAGCTTTGTTGAAGATCAACTGGTTGGAGGTGTTCAGACTTATTTCTGGGCTCTTTGTTTGGTTCCATTGGTCTATGTTTCTGTTTTTGTACCAGTGCCATGCTGTTTTTGGTTCTGGTAGCCTTGTGATTTAGTTAGAAGTTGGGTACCATAATGTCTCCAGCTTTGTGCTTTTCACTTAGGACTGCCTTAGCTATTTTTTGGTTCCATGTAAATTTTTTAAAAGTTTATTTTTTTCCTTGTTCTGAGAAGAATGTATCTAGTAGTTTCATAGGAATAACATTGAATCTATGAATTGCTTGGGGAAGTATGGCCATTTTAACAATATTGTTTCTTCCTATCCATGAGTGTGTGTATTAATTCATTCTCACATTGCTATAAAAATAGCTGAGATTGAGCAATTTATAAGGAAGGAGATGCAATTTGCTCATGGTTCTGCAGGCTGTGCAGCATGCGTGGCAGCATCTGCTTCTGAGGAGGGCTCAGGGAGCTTTTACTCATGGCAGAAAGCAAAGCCAGAGCAGGCACATCACATGTCCAAAGCAGGAGCACCAGCTGGAGGGAGGTGCCACACACTTGTCAACAACCAGCTCTTACAAGAGAACTCACTATTGCTACCAAGGGATGATGGTGTTAAGCCATGAGAAACCATACCAATGACACAGTCACCTCCCACCAAACCCACCTCAAGCAATGGGGATTACATTTCAACAAGAGAATTGAGTGGGGCCACAGATCCAAACCATACCAGCATGGAATGTTTTTCCATTTGTTTGTGTCATCTCTAATTTCTTTGAGAAGTGTTTTGTCATCTCCTTGTAGAGATTTTTCACCTCCCTGGTTAGCTATATTGCTAGGTACTTTATTCTTTTTGTGGCAATTGCGAATGGAATTGTGTTTGGCTATTGGCTTGTCTGTTGTTGGTGTATTGGAATGCTAGTGATTTTTGTACATTGAAACATTGCTGAAACTTTTTATCAGCTGAAGGAGCTTTGGGGCCAAGACTATGGAGTTTTTTATTCTGCCTTTTTCTGTTTTCCACTTGCTTGGTAGATTTTTTCCCATCTCTTTATTTTGAGCCTATGGGTATTATAGCTAGTGAGATGGGTCTCTTGAAGACAGCATACCAATGAGTCTTGGTTCTTAATCAAACTTGCCACTCTCTGCCTTTTAATTGGGGCATTTAACCCATTTACATTCAAGGTTAGTACTAATATGTGTGTATTTGATCCTGTCATCATGTTGTTAGCTGGATACTATTCATATTTGTTTATGTGGTTGCTTTATAGTGTCACTGGTTTATATACTTAAGTGGCTCGTAATGTTCTTTCCTTTTCATATCTAGTGCCTCCTTCAGGAGCTCTTGTAAGGCAGTTACTTTAGTAATGAAGCAATGAATCCCTTCAGCATTTCCTTCTCTGAAAACAATCTTACTTTTCCTTTACTTGTAAAGCTTAGTTTGGCTGGATATGAAATTCAGGGTTGGAATTTCTTTTCTTTAAGAAGGTTGAATATTGGGTCTTAATTTTTACTGGCTTGTAGGGCTCTGCTGTTAGTCTGATGGGCACCCCTTTGTAGGTGACCTAACCTTTAACATTTTTTCATTCATTTTGACCTTGGAGAATCTGATGATTATTTATCTTTGGGATATTCTTGTGGAGTATCTTGCCGGGGTTCTCTAAATTTCCTGAATTTCAATGTTGTCCTCTCAAGCTAAGTTGGGGAAGTTTTCATGGTTGTTATCCTGAAATATGTTTTCCAAGTTGCTTACACTCTTCCCATCTCTTTCAGGGACACCAATGTGTAGTAGATTTGGTCTCTTTACATAATCCCATATTTCTCAGAGGTTCTGTTTATTTCTTCTCTTTTTTGTTCTCTATTCTTGTCTGGCTATCTTATTTCAGAAAGCCAGTGTTCAAGCTCTGGCATTCTTTCTTCTGCTTGTTCTATTCTATTATTAATAAATACTTGTAATTGCATTATGAAACTTGTGTAGCATTTTTCAGCCCTATCAGGTTGGTTATGTTCTTTTCTATACTAGCTATTTTGTCTATCAGCTCCTGCACCATTTTATTGTGATTCTTAGCTTCCTTAGATTGAATTTCAACCTGCTCCTGCATCTCAGTAATTTTCCTTCCTGTCCATATTCTGAATTCTGTTTTCAGCCCTATCTGATAAGGAAGGCCAGTCTGTAGAAGTCAGGTCCAACAGCTCCCCTAAGGGTAAAGTCTTCTATGGGAAAAATTTGAGCCTAGGGGGAAGAATAACCCTTCCCATGCTCCACTAAAGATGCTCCTACACCAAACCCTTTGGGTTGCACATCATCTGGCTTTCTGCCCCTACCACTTCACTAAGCAGCAATCCTTGCTAACTTGAGTGTCCAGAGTGTTTGAGAGGTCTCCTTCTGCTGGGATGACACAGGCCTATGGTGAGAACAGGTTGCTTCTTGCTAGTTCAATTTATCCATTCTTCCAGAGTTGTTGGGGACCAGGAACAAGTCCCAGTCTGTGATAGGCCCTTGCATGGTTCCAAGCTTCCTCCTCCTATAGCCCAGCTTCTGTGTCTTCCCTCCATTCACTCTCAGTGCCTTTGCTCTGAAGATGTTAGCCGTGCACCAGTTGTCTTGTCCCCTCGATGGCAGCTGCTCCACCTGTCTCTGACTAGTGGGCCATCTTGCTTTCCCTTATCTTTCTTAATATAAGCATATACTGTTTCTCTCTGAACACTTTTTAGCTCCTGTTTCTCTCTGAACACTTCTTTAACTCCATACCATAAGTAGAGGTATTTTGTGTCCACATTTCAATATGTGTTCTGATTTCCATTTTGATTTCTTCTTTACCACCTTAGTTATTTATTACCATGTTGTTTAATTTTAAAATATTTGCAATTTTCCCATATTTTTTTCTAAGTGCATTCCATTATGATTGAAGGACATATTTTAAATTATTTCTATTCCTTTACATTCATTTTATGTTGTAACATATTGTTCATCCTGAACAATGTTCTATGCACAGTTGAGAAGTATGTATTTTGTGTTACTGTTGAGTGAAGTATTCTGTACATAACTGTTACTTATAATTGCTTTGTAGTTTTGTCTTCTACTTCCTTGTTGATCTTCTAACTAGTTATTTAATCTACAATTGAAAGCAGAGTATTGAAATCTCCAATATTATTGTTGACTCATCTATTTCAACTTTTTATTCTGTCAGTTTTTTTATTATTATTATTATTATTTATTATACTTTAAGTTTTAGGGTACATGTCCGTAACGTGCAGGTTAGTTACATATGTATACATGTGCCATGTTGGTGTGCTGCACCCATTAACTCGTCATTTAACATTAGGTATACCTCCTAATGCTATCCCTCCCCACTCCCCCCACCCCACAACAGGCCCTGGTGATGTTCCCCTTCCTGTGTCCGTGTGTTCTCATTGTTCAATTCCCACCTATGATTGAGAACATGGGGTGTTTGTTTTTTTTGTCCTTGTGATAGTTTGCTGAGAATGATGGTTTCCAGCTTCATCCATGTCCCTATAAAGGACATGAACTCATCATTTTTTATGGCTGCATAGTATTCCATGGTGTATATGTGCCACATTTTCTTAATTCAGTCTATCATTGTTGGACATTTGGTTTGGTTCCAAGTCTTTGCTATTGTGAATAGTGCCGCAATAAATATACGTGTACATGTGTCTTTATAGCAGCATGATTTATAATCCTTTGGGTATATACTCAGTAATGGGATGCCTGTGTTTTGATGTTCTTTTATTGAAGTACATAATATAATTTATAATTGTTATACATATTATATATATGTTTATAATTGTTTTATCTTTCTAATAAATTAACTGCTTTATCCATTGTCAATGTAATATGGTCTATTTTATTCTGGAAAAATTTTTTGTTTAAAAGTCTATTTTGTCTGGTATCAGTACAACCACTCCATCTTTCTTGTGGTTTACTGATTGATTGCATACTATATCTTTTTCCAACCCACTTTCAATCTATTTGTGTTTTTGAATCTAAAGAACATTGCCTTTAGACAGCATATAATTGGATAATTTTTAATTCAGTCTGACAATCTCTGTCTTGTGATTATTTATTCCATTCACATTTAATATTATTCTGGATATAGTTTGATTTATGTTTGTCATTTTATATCTTCTGTCTCATGTGTTTATTTGTTCCTCTACTACTCCATTATACCTTTGTTTTGTATTAAGTGAATATTTTCTAATAAAACATTTACATTTGTTTACAAGCATTGTTGCCGTATTTATTTAAACATTTGTTGTAGTTATTCTATGGCTTACAACATACATCATATCTTATCCAAAAAGCTTGATTTATACTGGTTTAATCCAAGTAGAATACTACTGCTATATAGCTCTGTTATAATTCCCTTTTTTTGTGGTATTATTATTATGCATATTGCATCTATTAATGTTATAAACCCAGAAATGCATTATTAGAATTATTGCATTGCTATCTTAAGATTTTCTCCTACCACCCTTTGTAAAGTTATTGGCAAATATATTACACAAGTATTTCATTTCTATATGTTATATGCCCATCAACATATTGTGTATGTATTATTTTATACAATTGCTTTTTAAAATATCTTAAGAAGGGGAACATATGAATACATATTGTCTCATAATTTCATAATTACTTTTACTAGTAATTTTGGTTTGTGTGGATTCAGATTACTGTATGGGTCACTTGTCTGAAGAACTTTCTTTAGCATTTCTTGTAAGGTGGGTTACCAGAAACAAACTGTCTCAGTTTTTGTTTATCTGGGAGTGTTTTTATTTCACATGCATTTAGAAAAATAGCTCTGTTGGATCTTTGTTTAAAACCTTTTTGTTTGCTTTATTTTTTTATTTTCCTTTGAGGCCTTTGAATTCCAAATATTATCTCACTGCCTGTTGGCCTCCATTATTTCTGCTGAGAAGTCAGCTGTTAATCTTATATTGTGATTGCCTTGAAAGTTACTGTTTATTTTCCTGATGCATTGTTTTATTGTGATACTTAGTTGTATTGTGTAATCTCTATTGCTTTATTTTCAAGTTCACTAATTCTTTCATCTGACAGTTTAAATCTACTGTTCAGGCCCTCTAGAGAATGTTTTCGGTTTGTTATTATACTTTTCAATTCCAAAATTTCTAGTTTTTTTTTTCTTAATGTAATTTTTATCTCATTTATTTTCTCTATTTGGTGTGGTACTGTATTTATACCTTAAATTATTTCATTTATCATGCATGCCTTTGGATTTTGAACATAATTCTTATGGCTAGTTTGAAATTATTTTCTACTAAACCTGACATCTGGTCACTCTCACAGACAGTTATGGTTGCCTACATTGTTACCAGTGTATGAGATATACTTTACTCTTTCTTTGCATGCCTTGTACTTTGTTTTTGTTGTTGGAAACTACACATTTTAAATACCATATTGTAGCAACTCCAGGTATTTGTCTCACCATCAAACATATATCCAAGACTTGTTATTGTTATTTGCTTGTCTTTCCTTTTTCCGTTTGAATAGTGACGAGTTGAATTATTTTAGTGAAGTCTATTTCCTCCCTCACAGTTATTAGCCTTTGTTGTTGCTCCTCCAAAAGGTTGACATTTGGGGTATCTCCACCCTTACCCTGTGATGACAATAGCTTTGATGAGGATCTCTTCCACTCTTTATGTGACCAAATCCAGCTGTTAAACTTCACTAATGCCAGCTTATTGCTTATTGTCTTCTACGTTATTCTGGGCATGAATTTTGCTACAAATTACTTCATTCAAGTTATGCCTCTTTTGATGGATTCCTTTCTGTGGTCAGTGTTTAATGTTTGTTCTGACATCAGAAGGACTCCATCTAGCTGTGTTATTTTCCAGTACCTAGGCAAACTAACTGTCCTGAAGTCTAGCCGTATCTCTAGTAGATCCATGAGTCTCTTCACAATTGACTTTTCACCACAATCTCTCTTTTTCTTAAGGAAACACTTAGGCTTGAACTTCTCTATGCTCTGTTTCAAGAGAAGACAGTTACTTTGGGAAAGGATTAGGAGCTATCTACTCTTTAGCTTGCTTCCCCACCTCCCCCCAACCTCCAAGTAAGAACTCAGAAGGTGGAATTAAGGACAACAGCAAGCTTATGTCTAGCGATCCCAGCTCTAACACATGAGAGTTTAATGGAAGGAGCAGCAGTAGCATGGACGTGTTAGTTGGCCTCTTCCAGCATAGACCTACAGGTAAGGGAATGTGTATTAAGAAACCAGTATTATACCCATGGTAAAGTCATTGTTTCATGATCAGGAACTAGATGAGAGAATGAAGCCCTTATCTCTTGACTGCCCTTGCCCAAGTCTAAGCCACAACACAACATAGCTATAGGTCTAATGAAAACCATCATGTCCTACTTCTAAATAGAAGAAAGCCTTCCTTCTAAGAGCTGAAGTAGGGGAGAGAGGAGGGAGCCCTGCATTCTTGGCTGCAATAGGCTGGAGTTGGCTCTGCTTTGCAGAGCTAGGAAGTAGAGGGAGGGTGATGTCTTGGTTCAAATACCATAGACTCTTGCTGTCTTATCAAGTTTTTTGTAGATTTTCTTGAATAGATATTTCTTCATTGGCTGTTTTTCTTAGGACTATTTCCAGAGCCTTTGAATGGTGGTATTAAAAAAAAATTGTGGCCAGACTCAGGGGCTCATGTCTGTAGTCCCAGCACTTTTGGATGCTGAGGAAGGAGGATTAATTGAGCCCAGGAGATTGAGACCAGCCTGGGCAATACTGTAAGACCTCATCTCTACAGAAAATTTAAAAATTAGCCAAGCATAGTGGCACAGTGCCTGTATTCCCAGCTACTCCAGAGGCTGAGGTGGGAGGATTGCTTGAGCCTAAAAGTTGGTGGCTGCAATGTGTCAAGACTGTGCCACTGCAGTCCAGCCTGAGCAACGGAGCAAGACCCTGTCTGAAAGTAATAATAATAGTAATGATAATAATTTTTTCTAGTTTTCCAGGGGAGACAGTCAAGGGAGATCACCCTGTTGCTGTGCTGGAAGTTGATGTCTTGGCAATTATTTCCTGGAGGACCCAAGTGACACATCCCTCCACCATTGCTTTTTTTCATGTGGGCTTTGACAAACATTGAACACATATTTGCATGCATGGGAAAATATTTCCATAGTAGTTGCTGTCAGTTCACCTGACTATGTAAGAATCTTCCTTAAGCAGCAGTCTGCCTTTATAGAGAAACAGCATTAACTGAGTGGCTCATTCTTCACAGCTCTTGACAGCCCCAGGGCTGAGCCACTCTATTTTAATACTGCTCTGTAGATAATGATCTTCATTTTGGCAGAACCTCAAAATGACCTTGATGTTTACAATAGCAGGGCAAAGCAGTGAACTGGCTGACTGCATTAAAACAGACAATTAACAGCAAGAGAGAAGGGAACTCCCTGTTCTTCTAATGTACACATATTTTCTAGTAAAAGTAAAACTCCATAATCTCTTGCTTAAATAAATTGTATACTATTTTCAACTTTTCATCTCAATTTTGTAAAACTGGAGAGAGTATTGTCAGGTTGTTTTAAACATGTAAATCATACTCTTCTTTCTGAAAACTTATGTTAAAAAATAAGGGGTTATAAAATGTGATCTAAAAATAAAGTGCTGTATGCAGAGTGTAGAATTAGAGCATTTATTTCATGACTTCAAGGCAATGCTTTTTAACTCCCTATTTAAATATGAAAAAGCACTTTTGATTATTTCTTTAAAGTTTGTATTTAGCACTCTAATTTTATTTTTTATCTAATAAAAGAGATTCTTAAAACTACCCATAAATTATCCTATGAAAGCAAAATAATCATTAACCATATAAATCAAGTGAGGACTAAATCACATTCTGCTATTTATAACAAGCTTTTGCTATGCATTATCCAAAATTGAACTAACATACACTTTGACTTTTTTCCTGACATGATTTATAGAAATTTGGCCTTTTTATGACTTTCATAGCCATTATTCTTTATTTGCTATTGATTATAAGTCAGTTCAGTTTGCTTTGAGACATCTAGTTAGTAGTGATTCAGATTAAAGTCTGTTACAACTATATTCAGCTAATGTAAAGAAAATTAAATAGATGACTCTTCAGAATTATTGAGAAGGCAACAGCTAACCTTAACTAATTATGCTTACTTATGATACTCTATGGCCTTGATAATAAAAACCATTAGCTAATGCCAACTCAGTTCTGATCTCTGCATAGAATAACTACATCTAAGAAAAGTGTGTACTCTCTCTCTGCAGGTAATGTTCCGGAAATTAGTACATCTAAAAATCAAAAAATTCTTTTTGTATAAACACAGCTACATTGGTCATGTTTACCTATTTATAAAAATACAAACTGTATAAATTAGATACATAGAATATGTTATAAAATTTTTATTCATCTAGTTTTGCTATGTAAAAAGAGCTTGGATAATTAAGATTAACAATGGCTAGAAAATATTAAGATAAATAAAAATTCAGAGAGAATCTGTAACTCTAACGATATTTATGACAAAAGTTTCAGTATTAACTGCCCTAGGTTTCACTATTGTGAGCATATAGGAAGCAAGGTGATGTAATTTGGATCTGTGTCCCCACCCAAATGTCATGTTAAATGTAATCCGAAGTGTTGAAGATGGGTCTGGTATGATGTGACTGGATCATGGAACAGGGCTTCCCGCTTTGGTACTGTTCTTGTGATCAAGTTCTCATGAGATCTGAATTTCTAAAAGTATGGAATTTCCTCCTGTGTCTCTCCTGATTTGGCCATGTAAGACATGCTTGCTTCTCCTTTGCCCTCCATAAGGATTGTAAGTTTCCTGAAGCCTCCTCAGAAGCTGCTGTCTTTTCTGTACAGCCTTCAGAACTGTAAGCCAATTAAACCTGCTTTATTTAGAAATTACTCAGACTCAGGTATTTTTATATTAGTATGATAACTGACTAATACAGAACATTAATACTAAGGAGTGAGGCATTGCTCTAAAGATATCTGAAAATGTGAAAGCAGCCTTGGAACTGGGTAACGGGCAGAAGTTGGAACAGTTTGGAGGGCTCAGAAGAAGGACAGAAAGATGAGGAAAAGTTTGCAGCTCCCTAGAGATTGGTTGAGTGGTTGTGACACAAATGCTGAAAGAGAAGGCCAAGCTGAGGGAGGTCACAGATGGAAATAATGAACTTATTGGGAACTGGAGTAAAGGTCACTTTTTTATGTGTTAGCAAAAAGGTTGGAGGCATTGCACCCCTGTTCTAAAGATCTGTGGAACTTTGAACTTGAGAGTGATGATTTAGTGTATCTGGCAAAAGAAATTTCTAAGCAGCAAAGCATTTAAGGTGTGGCCTGGATGCTTCTAGAAGTGTATGCTCATATGCATGAGCAAAGAAATGATCTGAAACTGAAACTTATATTTAAAAGGGAAGCAGACTGTAAAAATTTGGAGAATTTGCATTGTGGTCATGCAGTAGAAAAGAAAAGCCCATTTTTTGGAGAGGAATTCAAGCTTGCTGCAGAAATTTGCACGACTAAAAGGAATGCAAGTGCTGATAGCAAAGACAATGGGAAAAAAGTCCTTGAAGGCATTTTAGAGATTTTTGCAGTAGCCCTTCCCATCACATACCTAGAGAACTAGAAAGGAAGAATGGTTTCCCAGGCCAGATCCAGAACTCTACTCTCCTTCAAGGCTCAGGGCACTGCTCCCTGCATCCTAACAGCTCCAGCACAAGTCATGGCTAAAAGAGGCCTAGGTAGAGCTTTGGCTGCTGCTTCAGAGGATGTAAGCCATAAGCCTTGGTGGTTTTCAGCTAATTTAAAGCCTGTGGGTACACAGAATGCAAGAATTGAGGGTTGGGAGCCTCTGCCTATATTTCAGACTATATACGGAAAAGCCTGGATGTCCAGGCAGAACCTGCTGCAAGGGTAGAGCCCTTATAGGGAACCTCTACTAGAGCAGTGGAGAGGAGAAATGTGGGGTTGAAACCACCAAGCAGATTCTCCACTGGGAACCACCCAGAGTCGCTGTGAGAAGAGGCCACCATCTTCCAGGCCCCAGAATGGCAGATCCACCGACAGCTTGCACCCTGTGCCTGGAAAAGCTACAGGGGCTTTATGTCAGCTCATGAAAGCAATTGAGGTGGTAGAAGGGGCTGTACTTTGCAAAGCCTCAGGGAGGGGGCTGCCCAAGGCTTTGGGAGCTCACGCGTTGCACCAGTGTGTTCTGGATGTGAGAGATGGAGTCAAAGGGGATTATTTTAGAGATCTAAGATTTAATTACTGCCTTGCTGGGTTTCAAACTTGCAAAGGGCCTGTAGCCCCTTTCTTTTGGCCAGTTTTTCTCTTTTGTGATTGTAGTATTTATCCAATGACTGTAACTCCATTGTATCTTGGAAGTAACTAATTTTTTTTTGGTGTTATTTTACAGGCTCATAGGTGGAAGGGACTAACCTTGTCTCCAATGATACTTTGGACTGTGGACATTTGAGTAATGCTGTAAAGAGTTAAAACTTTGGTGGATGTTGGAAAGACATAATTGTATTTTGCAATGTGAGAAGGACATGAGATTTGGGAGGAGCCAGGGGTGGAATGATACGGTTTGGACCTGCGTCCCCACTCAAATCTTATGTTGAATTATAATCCCCAATGTTGGAGGTGGGTCCTGGTGGAAGGTGATTGGATCATGGGGGCAGGTTTTCCCCTTTGATGCTGTTCTCATGATAGAGTTCTCAGGGGATCTGTTTGTTTAAAAGTGTATAGCATCTTCCCCATGTCTTTCTTTATCCTGCTCCAGTCATGTAAAATGTGCCTGCTTCACCTTCACTCCCTGTCATGACTGTGAGTTTCCTGATATCTCTCCAGAAGCTGCTATGTTTCCTGTACAGTCTGCAGAACTATGAGCCAATTAAACCTTTTTTCTTTATACATTACCCAGTCCAGGTATTTCTTTATAACAGTGTGAGAACTGACTAATACACAGGGCAATTATATTAAAATCTCTTTGATCATTCCTCTTGTGTGAATAAACTAAGAGAATTAATTATTTCATTCATATAAATACACATAAAACAACTCATTGTCTTGAAAAAGGAACATGGTATCTGTAATACGTTATAGTCCACAGCTATTTGAGTATCAGTTTGTTCAGGCTGCTATAACAAAATAACATAGACTCCGTGGCTTATAAACAGCAAAAGTGTATTGCTCACAGTTCCAGAGGAAAGGCAGTCCAAAGTCAAAGTGCTGGCAGATTTGGCATCTGATGAGGGCCCGCTTTCTGGCTCACAGAGAGTGCCCCCTACCTGTGTCCTCAAATCGTGGAAGGGAAGAACAAGCTTCTTTGGAACCGTTTCATAAGGACACTAAGCCCATAAAGTTGGCCCACTAAGACCATAAAATTGGTCTGAACTTTTGAAATTTAGACCTCATTTGAAAAGTTATTTTTTAAATGGGTAATACATAAAGAAACCTAAAATAATTTATATCTCTTATTTTGATAATTATACTTATAAGAGATTATCTTAAGAAATGAATAAAAATGCAGGAAAAATTATTTCTTTAAAAAATACACATCTTGTGTGATGTTTATATAATTGGAAATAGCCTGTGGTCCCAACTGCTTTGAAATTATTAACTATATTTTGATGTTTATGTTTGATGGAATAAGGTACAACAGTGTAAAAGTAATATTTATGAAGAGTTTATAGTTGCAAAGAATATATATATATATAGCATGTGCATGAAAAAAGTGCAGAAAATACAATTCTTTAGCTAGAACAATAACAACTAGATAAACATTAAAATGAACATAAATCAATGATAGATAAATACTAGAAATAAATGGTTGCCTTTGAGTGGGAAGCTTATGAATAATTATTATTGGTATTTTTGTGCTATGTTTATGTTTTGCAAATGTTCACAATCAGTATATAACTTTGTAATGGAGGTTTTAGAAGGTTTTCATCATTTTGATTGGGATATAACAAAGAATATATTCTAATTTATAGGTCTACTTAAAGTAAGATAAATCATAGTGCAACAGAATTAAATTCACTTGAGTTCATTGACTGTTACTATTGTAGGCTCAGACCACAGCAGAGCAATGCATGAACATTACAAGTCAAGGCGACTAAAGGAGGGTATGAATGAGGGAGAATATATGGGAGGGGAGTTGCCATGTTATAGTGCTGCAGAGAGAGGTTCTCTTATAAAGTGGTATTTGGGCAAAAGTTGACCTCTGCAAATAGCTTGTGGAAGAGAATTCCAAGCAAGGAAGCCACAAGTTTAAATGCTCTGATGTCAGAGAAAACTGAATGTAAGAACAAAGGGACTCTAGCAGAGGAAAGGTTAAATTTAGGTTGGGGCAGAGGTGAGAGGAGAATAGACTTCTATAGAAGAGCAGATTTCTGAGTTAAATCCTTTAAAATGAGTAGTTTTGCAAAGCACAAAAAAAAAAAAAGAATGAGGAAGGGAGCCCCGTGGATAAACTGTCATAGCAAAACATGGAGGTGTAAAGCAGGTGGCCCAGGGATCAGCTGCCTTTGTGTGTGGCTGAATTATAGGGTCTAGGTAAAAGTAGAAAGAGGAAAAGCAGGGATGGTTTGGTTTTAACCAGGAAACTTTGACTTTACCCCATAAGTGATGAGAAAGCACTGAAGACCCATAAGCCAACCAGACATGTGTTCTAGAAAGTCCACCAGAAACAACATGTAAGATGTTAGAGAGCCACTTCTGGAGGCTTAAAGAGGTGGGCTCTTAGATTATTTTTACAATGATATAGACAGAGGCAATGAGGTACTTCACTTAGTCACAGGTAGTGATCCGAGACCCGTTCAGGAAATAAAACCTACAGCACTGGGTGATTAACTGAATACTCTAATACAGTGAATGAAGACGCGGACTTAGTCCATAATAGAGTTTAGATTTCTGTTTTCACTGTGAGATTTTTATACTTGGGCAGGCGGTGGGGGGATTATGTCATAGTTTATGTGGGAAGAAAAGTCCATTTTCAGTAAACCTGATGACTTTCCATTTGGGTGTCTCTTATGAGATGTTGTAGCCATTAGTGTAAATAGCCAGTTTACACTGAGATATATGAGTCTAAGCTTATAAAAGGTGGTTAGGAGTAATATGTATGAATCTTCAACATATGGCACTAAGAGTAGACAAAAGAAATAAATTGAAGGAGACGCATGATATTACAGTATTTTGCTCAAAGTCACAGTATAAAACGACAGTAGATATTTTACAAAATCATAGTCAAATAATAATGATAGTCACAACGGAACACAATGAGTTCGTTCTCTACAGTGGGGAAGGAAATAAGCATGTAGGACAGGAATATAAGAAAAGGAAAAATAAACAAGCAAATAGATAAAATAGTAAATGAGCTCATAAACTAAGAAAGGATTTTGCATATACCCATAATGATTTTATGCTGTAAGCAGAAGTACCCGTTTATTTTTTGTAATTGATGTCCAAAAAATAAAAATAAAAAAAGAAAGTGAGAAATACTAGAAAACACAAAGATAGAGTTATAAAGCATGTTTGGGAATGAAGATTTGGTAATTACAATAAATGCTAATGAATTAAATCCACTAACCAAAATATAAAATCTCAGGATTGTTTAAAATGAAATAAAAAAACAATACAATACAATTCTCTGCCCTTGTTTTCTATAAGAGAAATACTTAAAAACAGAAAGACAAGATACATAAAGTTTGAAAATTAAAAAACATAGCTAAGAAGTATAGAGCAAAGTATAGAGCAAAGATATTTTTTGACTACCAAAAAATATATTTAATTTTAAGACAAAAAATGACAATGAATAGAAAGGGACATTTCACATCAGCAAGAGAAAAAAAATGTGTCAAGAAAAAATAATAATGATGAACATGTGAATTTTTAACATAACCTACCCCAAATAATAAAGCAACAACAGGTAAAATTACCAGGTAAAATATATCAACTAACAAATATAGTTGGGAATTCTTTATCATAACTTTCCTAAATAGGTAGAACAAGAAAGTAAAAAATAAGCAAAGACATAGAAGATATGAATAACAATAAGCTTTAATATATATATATATGTGTGTTCATGAACTTTACAGAAAACAGAGATTTTGTTTTTAAAATAATATATGAATTATTCATGAAATTTTACTGGGCACTAGTGTACACACACACAAACACACACACATTAATTTCCAAGGATCAACTTTATACCCACTTTATTAAAGCAATAAAATGAGAAAATGCTAACTAAATGAAAGCAAAAAGAAATTTCAGGTATCTGAAAATTATATAACATTACAAAATAATTTGAGTTGAGAAACAACATTGACAAAATTGGGAAATAATTATAAATCAACAATGTAAATGCTATGTGTCAGTATTTGGAGCACATACTAACATCAGATCATGAAAATAATGTTATACCTTTACATTCGTCAGAATACATGAATGAGCTAGGATTTCAAAAGAAATTGTTGGAAGATGAACAAATTAAACTACTGAAGAAAGTAGAAAAGACAAATATAATAAATATGAGGCAGAAATCAGTTTAACAGAAAGTAATGCCTGAAAAAAAGCAATAAAGGAGTTTTACAAGCCCAGGTCATCAAATAATGTCAAAAACAAAACAATTAAGAAGTTTAACAACCCCAGTTGTTGGATGTAACAAGCTCATGCACCATGCATTGCAAAAAAAGAAAAGAAAAACAGAAGAAAATATAACACTAAATTAAGAAATTGGGAAACAGCCAAGCAGATAACAGAGATTATAGAAAAAATAAATAAAATAAGTATATATGAATAACTTTGGTGGTCCAAGTGTAATAGATGAGTTGCTAGAACATACAGAATGTTAACAATGGGTTGAAAAGAAACAAAATTCCTGAGTAGACTAACAACCTTAAATGGATTTGAAACAGTTATCAAAGATCTTATAAACACTTTTTCCTCTCCCTACCCTTAACTATTTAATAAAATGAACATTTTATTATGTTAATACAAGTTCGATTATAAAAATGGAGGAAAATGAAAAACTTCAGAACTTATTTCATTTATGATTATAAATGCAAACCCTTAAATATGTATTAGATAAAACAAATAAATGTATTAAAATATACACCTTAATAACTTGTGTTTATCTCAGTAATGTAAGAAACATGTTCAACATCAGAAATATCACTGAAATTTACTACAATGAGAAAAATTATAAATAAATGGAACAGAATTGATAGTGTAGAAATAAATCCTAGAAAGTAGCAAGACAAAAAAGACATGTATCTGCAAAAGAGCCAGAGTTAAATTGACAAGATTTTTTTTGTCCAGGAGCGGGGGCGGTAGATAGAGCCAGGGTCTTACTATGTTGCCCCGACTGATCTTGGACTTCTGAGCTCGAGTGATCCGTCCACCTTGGCCTCCCAAAGTGCAGGAATTACAGGTGTGAGCCATCATGACTGGCCAACAAGATTTTTAATGTCAAGAATGGAAACCAGATTTCAGTGAGGTACCTTCAATGTGCTAAGAAAATACATTTCTCAACCTGTAATTATATGACCTAATTTAAGAATGAGGACAGGGAAAAAAAAAATCCAGACAAATAAAAAAAAAATAAGAGAATGAGCCACCAGAAGATCTGCTTTAAAGGAAATGTTAAAGGTTGTATTTCAGGTCGAAGGAAAGTAATCCCGGATGAAAGTTTTGAAGGAGGAATAAAGAGGGAAGAATGATAAGTATGTGATTAATATAAATAAGCTTGACTTAGAATAATACCAGCATTTCATCAGGTTAAAATACAATGCAGATAAAATACTCAAAACTATTACATATAATCAAGACAAGAAGAGAGGAATTAAAATATTCTAGGGCCTTTCTGCTTCTGTAAGGAGGATAAATATATTCACGATTTCTAGACTCTGGCCAACTGAGAACCAAGTGTGGTAGTGCAGGCCTTGGAGAGGTGGGAGGTTGGGGGGCTGTTGCCCCAGGGGCAGGCACTCCTGAGTGAGGACTCTCTGAGGCTCTGGGGACCCAGGCTCTGTGCCATCAGCCTACACCTGGCTTTCAGAAAGCGAAGAAATGTCCACAGTCTTCTTCAGTGCCTTTATGTCCGTCACCTTCACCTCCCAACTCTGCCAAATGTGAACGGGGTTCTGAGTCCCTTCTCTCGTCTGTGGGTTTTTTCACTTCCTCGGGGGACTCGGACAGGTTATAATTCTGTAACTATATTAACGTTTTCTTACCAGTTGTGTGAAAGTAACACTTTCTGACCACTTTCTGCCTCCTCAGTGGATGGGATTCTTCTTCGGTGTTTTTTGAATGAAACTTTTCAAGCGTGATGTCCCTCATTCCTCATTCATAAATTCATTTTATTAAGCAAATCTATACATCAAGATTTGTGCTGAAATGAGCTGATTCTTGAGAAAGTTATCAACTTTCCTCAGATGTTCTATGTCCCCTTAGAAGGGAGGGGGATGCCTGGAGCCCCCAGGACATGGACCATCCTCTCTCCCTCCAGGGAGCCGCCTTTGCTCCTCTGCGGGCCAGTGCATCTGGGCGGTACAGCGTCTTTTGACTCAAGAGACAGGGTGGGTGTGCAATGTGCTAGGGTTTATGCTGGGTCAAAAGTCACTTCATTTATAACGAGTAATCATCAACAGTTCACCTCTGTGTGTTAGGCAATTGGCTAACATTTTCTCAGTTGCAAGAAAGTTGGAGCCATGTTCGTCCTCTGAAGCAGGGGAGTCGGGATCTGGACGCAGGGGTCTCTCAGAGTCCTGAGCCCTGGTGGTGCCGCTGTCATTCCACTGCCTGTCTCTGTGGGGCAGGAGCCCAGGCTCGGGGCTACGCATGCCAGGGGCAGGGCTGACGTCCAGCAAGGAGTCCGTCCACCGCCGTGAAAACTCACACTGCAGTAAAGACACCGCTGCTTTAAAGACACAGCCTTTCATGAAATTGTCATGGAAGAAAATGAAGCAAGTTGTAGTTTTTAAAAGACATATAAAAATAAATAAATGGCCACAGATAAAAGGCTTCAAGCTCTGCACTTATCTTAAGAGCTAAGGGGAGGGAAAGGTTATATTTTTTCACACTCAGGTGTCCCCATGCTAACATGAAAAATCCTTTCTACTCTGCAAGCCACACTTGTGCTATCAACGCTCCCGGGAAATGTTTGCCTGTTTGTAATCAAAGACTAAAGAAAAATAGACACAGATATACAATGCTTTGGAATGTTTACTTTTGAGAGCTTTTACCCTAGGAAAATCGACTCTGTTATCTCACTCCCTGCAATCTTTCTCTCAAGGGTAGATAGAGGAGCTGCTACAAACCAGCCCTGTCCGGGATGATTACTATCTGGGAGGTCCCGGGTTGCAGTACAGCCCAGTGGCCACAGAGCTGGTGTTGTCAGCTGTACATGCTCCTGGTGGCAAAGGTCCTAAGCCCTGCAACATCCCCAGCATGGAAAATGGAAGCACAGGTTTCCATGATACCAAGAAAATGACAGTGCAATAGCATATGGTCAGACTCATGGGAAATATCACTTAAAAAGTACATTTGACAGAGACCTTATCTTATGTATTCAGTAAGTGTCAGCAATTCTGGGCAGCCCAGACTCATTATTTAAAAGTCTTAACAATAAGATTGTCTACAAATAGATGATAGATACTATCAATTAATGTAGTTAACAAGGAATGACAAAATAAATTTACTTTTTACTTGTTTAACACAGTAGATCCAGATATTTTTATATACTTTTTAAACCTATAAACCAACAATATATTTTTAAAAAACAAGACTCAGAGGAGAGTCTTTTGATGGATTGCATTGCCCCTGACAACTATGTCTTATCGATATCTATTAGGGGTATGTGATAAGTAACTAATAGCCTAAGGCAATAAAATGGAGAAGAAAAGGTGTTAACATCAGGACCACACTCTTTCCCTAGGACTTGCATGTACAATTCTTATTTATTCTTTGTGACCTCCCAGACCTTATCTCACATTGCTGTTGTGGAGCTTAACACACAGAGTTGTTTCTGTGTACCTTGCACTCCACTGATGAAGACCCTGGAGTCAGAGTCTGTTCCCCATTTATATTAATACTCCTGTAGCTAGAATCAAGAAGGTAGTCATGGGTCCTCAATGATCCTAAACACCAGCACGATTGAAACAACAACAATAAACACAGAAATAAGCACAATCCCTTGAGCAAATTTTCATAACAAGGAGGCACAAAATGGAGACAGAATTAAATGTGCATGCACTGAGCAATCTACAGACATGATTACATTTAACCTTCAGAATGACCCTCTGCAATAAGAATTATTACTCTACTCCTTTTTTTTTTTTATGAGTAAACTGGGACTCAGCTTGTTTAGGTGACAGAGGACCCAAGAAAGGTTACTGTGATAAGAACAAAGGGTAAGGGATGAGGGAGTTGAAGACATGCAGTTGTGCTTCTGGCTAGTGTAGACAGAGGACATCCTCCTTCTACCCCCACATACAAGTATACACAGAAGGTAAAAGCATCTGGGCTTTGGCAGCAGCAGTGTTTGAATCATGGCTCTTTCACTTACTAACTGGCATTTCTAAACATGTTCTCAATAAACAGTAAGGATTAGACCAGGCACCATGGCTCACGCCTGTAATACCAGCACTTTGGGAGGCCAAGGCAGGCAGGTGGATTGCTCGGGCTCAGGATTTCAAGTCCAGTCTGGGCAACACTGCAAAATCTCTATTCTACAAAAAATACAAAAATTGGCTGGGAGTGGTGGTGCATGCCTGTAGTCCCAGGTAATTGGGAGGCTGAGAAGTGGGGGGATTATTTGAGCCTGGGAGAAGGCAGTTGCTGTGAGCTGAGATCGCCACAGCTCTCCAACTTGGGTGACAGAGCAAGACCCTGTCTAAAAAAAATAATAATAAAAGTAAAAATAAAGGATTAGTATATTTCTGCAAGTCATTATTATCATAGGAGGATGTCATTTAACCCACAAGTTAACCAATCTATGGTACAACTTGGTGTAGTAACTGGCTTTAGTGCAGTTCTTCATGAGAAAGACATTCTCTGTTGTATAATCCTTTTAATGAGCATTATAAAATATCTCCTGAAATTCTAAATGTAATAAAACCTCTGCAAATCTACTGCATGAAAGAACATGTTGGTAATGAATCAAATGAAGTAAGACGATATTCCTTGTTTCCTGCTGTGAGTGCATGCTCATCAGGAAACTATATGTTTCTGCGAGGACATTTTATTGCCAATGATGCCAGGTAGCAATTCAAGTGACACTGTACAGCATAATGCCTAGCAAAGGATCTCAAAGGCTGTTTCCAGTAATCAGAGCTTGCTGATTCATATCTCTTCAGTCTGGCTTCCATGCACTTATTTTCTCACCAACCTGGCCAATGTTACAAACTAATAATTCAACATTGATGTTCAGATAAAATCTTGCAGGTCTGGATATTGGTGTGAAGTTCATTTCCTTAACGATAATTACAGTAAAGGTGTTCCTAGAATGAATCTGTTTAATACAATTACAGAAAATATCAGGACAGTGCTAGGAGAGAAGAGAAGAGCAGGCAGTTTATCATTGAAAATAAGATAACATCGTTTGTTTCAAGGACTGTATATACACAGAGAACTACTTAAGTAGTTCATAGAGGAGTTGGTCTCTTGGAGGGCATCTACATCCAGTATCCAAGGAAACATTCAGAAAGGTGTCTTGGAATAAGCGTTTGCTGGATTTATAGGCTCCTCCTTCAAACATGTGGTTAAAAAAAAAAAGTACCTCTTGATCAATTCCAGAAATTGGACCACTGTCGTTCATTCAAAAAACACAGCAGAGCAGATGCAAGATGCCACCTTTGAATGGCTAAACCTTGGTGCACAACCTTCCTAGCTCCTGAAAGGCCCTCCATTTTCTGGCTTTCACTACTCACACTCATTCTTCAAAACCAGCTTCAATTTTATTTTTAGGTACAAGAATTTCTTGACCCTATGGAAAAAATAAATCCTACCGCCTATATTATTTTAGTGCCAAGTAAATAATATTTTTGTTGTATTTATTACCTAACACTGACAAGTATTTGTTTAGAAGTCTGTGTTGAGTATATATTAGATACTCAATAGAAATTTGTTGAAGCAAATATTACCTTCTATCTCAGATGGTGGTGTGATAAGATGTCACGAATAAATGAATTCTTAGAAATTGAGACTCAACTCATGAACAGTGAGGGTTTTTTTCTGTATTAATTCATTCTATCATCCAATTAACAGATTTAGTGAGCATCTATTATAGCTACACATTATGCAAATCTCTGGAGAAGAAAGGAATGAATAAGCTTTTCTATTTTATTCATAAGCTTAATGAAAAAGATGTATTTCTTATTTTTTGCAAAATTATTATATAAAAATTTTATAGACAATTTTTTATAATTTAGATTATCATATTTTAAATGTAATTACTCTTCAGAATAATGCCGTACTTTTTCTTTTTTCTGAAAAAGGCACTGAGAGTGTGCATTTCCTCAAAGATGTAGAGAGCATTTCAGGCATTATGAAAATAAATAGCCTGAAGCCTGAGAAGAGAATTAAATCCTCACCTTTGTGAACTTTAGCTTTGCCATCTATTGTTATCAAGATGCCTGCATTCAGGCTGAGTGGCACCAACAGCTGCTCTTTGTTGAGTGTTCCCTGGCTTTGTTGAGTGTTCCCTGGGTAAACAGCATTGTTTTCCAGTACTCATAGAGCAGAAAACGGAGCATTTTCTTGCTAATTCTCTGAGGCACTCCAAACAGTTAGTAAAACCCAGTTGAGCAAGAGGGTTCTCTCTGAGCCTTGGTTTTCTCTTCACTAAAATAAATGGGTTGGGAAAGCTTGTCTACCTTTACCTAAGAGATTCTTTAATCTGCATGTTCATCTCACGTATGTTGACAAAACAACCATCAGCTTGGAGGGGTGTGGGGAGAAAGAAGCACTATGGGAGACTGGAGAGAGAGAAGAGAAGGAAGCAAACAACCTTCATTCAAATTCTGCTCCATAGGAATCCAAGTCTGTTGCCATCCTGTCTTGGGTTCTCTTCTCTGTGATTAATCACTAACTTGGAGCTGAAATACAGGTCTACACTTCTCTGCATCTACTGTCTGTATCTACATCTGTGTCTGTCTAGCTAGCCAGCTATTTATATTAAAATTCAACAATAAGGCACAGGTAGTAAACAAAGATGTTCATAGAGCAACTCAGGTAGCATCCTGGGCTACCAGCACCCTCGAATCCTGATGTTGCATGGTGTTAACATGAGGATGGTCACTCATATTTTAATGTGTCAAGTGTACAGATCAGTGGTTCTCAAACTTGAATGTACATCAGAACCACCTAAAGGGATCATTCAAACGCAGATTGCTGGGCCTGACTTTAAGATTTTCAGCTCTAGTCAGTTTTAGATGGGTCCAAGAATTTGGATTTCTCACAAATTCCCAGGGGAGACTGATGCAAATAGTCCAGAGACCACCCTTGGAGAGAGAAGGGGGGGGCCAAGTGAGGTGAGAAATGCCTGTTCTCTATACCAATCCCTCTTCCTAATGGGAAAAATGTACCATAGCAAGGACATGTCTTCATTTGAATATTTCGTGTTCTTTTACAAATACTGTTTTCTCTTGGAGTTCAGGCATTTGGAAGACACCTGTTCATTAGCCTCTGTCTATTGTTGGGTAAAGGAGGCAAAGGCAAAACAACAAAGAAATTGTAAAAACTCAGATATGCTCAATATTACTTTATAAACTACCCTTGCTGCCCTTACAGTGTATAAACTGTGTATTTGCTCTACCTGGGCACCTTTTAGGTCCTAAGATTTTTCCTAGTTCTTTGGTTATTTATCTCCATATTTCAGCTCATGAACCACTTGACAGGCTTTGCTTTTTAAAAATGAGGAAATTCGTAAGAGTTTAACCATAACATTTTACAACAGTAATATAGGAAGCAGCAAATCTTAAGAAAACATATTAAGAAAAGAAAATGTGCATCACTTGTCTTCTTTTGTATTTTTCCCTAATAATTACTGTGGGGCTGTCCCCCTCAATGATTTATTTATTTATTCCTTTTTATAAAAACTGTATTCACTCACGGAAGCTCTTCTCAGCTCTTGAATTGTTGTCTTGGGCTAATTTTTCAATGTTATTTTAAAAATGACATGTTTTTCTTAATGAAATAAGCTTGGTAATAGTTTGATTCTTGCTCAATTATAATTAGGGGAATAGGTCAAAGATCAACATTCATCACCTCATACAAGGCTGACAACTATGTCTGATAGTTGGTATGCTTACATCCGTTTTACAGAGGAGGAAACTGAGGCATAGACAGGAGAAGTAACTTCACCAGTTATCTGACCACAGATAATAGCTCAGAGATTCAATCTGAGTGTGTCGGGTTCCAATGATTCCACTATGTGTTATTATGTATAGAGTTACATATACTATAAGAGAAATTGTATTCAAGGTACTCAGTTATATTTTTTATTCTGATCCAGAAAAATTACCAACCCTGCCCACAAATGCGCTTTACAATCTCTTCTGTTTGCATTTGAAGATACTCTATCAATAAAGCAAAAAGACGAATGACAAAGAGCCATCTACATCACCTAAATGTTACACAGGAGTTCTGGATAAAAATCATGAGTCCTGGCCCAGGGTTCTTCTCTGCACCAAAAACCACAATTGTCCCCTTGTTCCCTTGTCTTAGTCATGTCATGCTCCATGGAGTCTCAAGGCCGCCTATCCTATCTTGTCCTGTACACACTGGAAGGTTTAGATCAGATAGCATATTTGCTCATTCTTTTATTGGCATTTATAAAGAACCCTCATGGCATACAGTTCACAGTTAGGTGCTAGGATGATGCGAACATGAATAGGAGAAGATTTCTGATCTTCAGTGGCCACCAGATCATTGGAAGATATAAAGGGAATGCCTGTGATTAGCAAATATTACATATTAGCTGTTATTTCATGAAATTAAAGTGGTTGTCACAAACCAGAGCCAGTAAAAGACCATGAGGTATTAAAAGAAGTCAGGATTTCAGGATGGCAGGATTAGGAATATCTTAGTGGAAGAAAGTGGCATTTGGCTGTACTTTAATGTTCTGTTTTCAAACATGGGCACATGGTTCTGAGATGTGCAAGGTGACCAACTGAGTTAGAAGAAGAACACATTAAATTTGGAAATATAAGAATTTTTATCTAAATTATTTTTAAAACTACATTAATAATAATGGATTTACTACTGAGACTGGTACTTTCACCCATAACCAAGTGTCATATCTGACACATGAGTTGTGCCCAGGGAAGGGCAGAGCTCCATGACAGATGGACTCTACTGACTCTTTTAACTTGCTAATATACATCCCTGAGTGCCTGGTTAATAGGATTTACAGATTCTATTATTTGGCTTTAATTAAGTAACACAGAGAAATGTACAAGTGGTTTGAAAATGTCTACCTAGAAGACATGGATTAAAGATGATATTACAAAGTCATCAATAAGAACATGGCAAAACTTCTTTCAAATGCCTCGTACAAGTTCACTTTCAATTGTATTATAGACATTTAGAACCCCAAAACCAAAATAATCAAGAAGATTATTTTAATTATGGATTTACAGCCACAATTATTCATTATCTAACTCATCCAACATGTATATTTTACCCTTACGTATTGAATTTATTAAGAAACGTGCAAGTGTCATATTGGTGGATAGATGAATGAATAACTAAAATCTAGAAATTATGCTTTTCTTTAGAACATAAGTTAAGTGGCTCAGATCCATAGTTGAAAATATGTTAGTGATAAAGACATGGGTTTTGATATTTTTCTATGCATTCATCAACTTGCAAATTTGGGAATGTCAAAGCCTAATCTCACAGAAAAATTGACCTTAAAATTTTTGCTTACAGTAATAAAACATGTATTAATTATAGGAATACATGTACATGTATTATAGACTATGTATCAGTGATTTTTTTTTTTTACCGGATAAAGTCATATGATCTAAAGTTTACACATTATTGCCTACTAGATGGGCAAGATTCTGTACTCTAGTGATCCGAGTGATACCCCAAAAATTTGCAAGTTGTGTGGATCACTCCAAGCCCTGGTCAGCTTGGCATCCCCAGCACTTGGCATCACACTTGGTCATAATAGTCACGTAAAAATTCACTGTTGAATAAAGTTTAAAATAAAATACACACAGTTACATGATAGATGGATTGAAATAATTTATATTTTCTTTTTAAAAGAGGCTAGAGAAGAGCAAAAATTATATTTCTAGATTGTCAGTGAAATGAAAACCGATGACTCGTCCAAAAGGAAATAGGTATTACAGCCTTCCAAAGCATATGTCTATATTTACATAAACAACATGAAATATTGTTATTTGGTCCAACATTTGAAATTATATCAAGCATATTTTTATATCTTCTTCCCTTTTCTCTCATAGTAATTATTTAACATCAGAATTATAATGCTTAAATTACATATTCTAATTACTTTAGGCAATGAAAGATATTTATACCTTTTTAACAGCAAATGTTTAATTAGCATATTAATCAAAAAATGAATAATTTACAAGTTGACTAACAGATATGAATTATTCTAAAAGAGGCCTTGCCCATGAGGAGCTCAGAAAGTCTATCAATTTTTTGAGATGTTCCCAGGCATATAACCAAAAGTGTTACTACCTATTTAATGAACTATTCAGAAAAATAAGATTAAGAATCTCAACGAATTAATGACATTTAAATTATCTCCCAGGTTCGCCCTTTGCCTTGAAGTCCTGATCTCTCATTTGGTCCTATCTGAAACACAAAGCAAGAATGGAAGCAATTAACTCCAGAGTGCCCTTGACGCCATGGCCTCAACAGCACCCAGACATGGTGAGAGAGTCAGGCTTCCTGCTCAACCTAGTGGAAACTGGCTTTGAGGCCTGAGTTGTACTCAAAATGATGTCAGTTTGCTTAGTGCCTATGAAGACACACTCACACTCACAGGGTCTTGAGGATAGACGTAACTGAGCATTAAACAGAATGCTTTCCTTCTGGATCAATGCCCAAAAGTACAGGGTCTTTTAAGACCAACAGGACTGCTTCTCTTCTCACGACCTGTTTGTCTATTCTTAACACAACAGCTTATACCAAACAATTTACAAATAGATAACCAAGGTGAGTAGGCCACGGTCTTGGGGATAGGGAAGACGCTATCTCCTCTGTTCTCTGATTAGTTTATGTAAATACCTCCTTTGTCCCTTCAAATCTGTCTTTGATACCAATACTTTATAATAGTTACTGTAACTGCAGCTATATTATACCAAGGCACTGGTTATAAAGTGAAACTCAAGCAAATGGTCATTTTGTGATTTCAGTGCATTATCTTTAATAATACAAAATGACTCCATGTCAGGTAGCTTTGGGGAGAGTATCGCTTTAACCCTAGAATCACAGGGCTCTCCCAAGCCCTCCCTCCATCTGCTGACAGTCATGGCGAGGCCACTGGGTGTGGTCTCAGGAGGATGGTGGAGCAATGCCTGGTAATGGATTTTCTGCCAGTGTCGGAACAGGCTCCAGAGCTGTGAACGGCACCACCAAGGAATCCAGGCCGGATGACAGAAGAAAGAAGAGATAAGAAATGTAACATGGGGTGGATGTGAATACTCTTCCACTGGACATTTCCTTACTTTGTCATACATTTTGATCTCCTAATTTAATTAGAAACAGGAATGAATGAATTCCCAGTACAACTTTCCCCTTTCTTATCCAAAGAGATTTTTTTAACCTATATTTTTATTTCCAACTAAAGTGTTTTAGAGTCCCTTTGGAGTTTCCGCAGAACAACCCACCAGCATTTCTTCCTGATAAGAGAACACGGCCACTGAGACCACTGACAAGTCTGGGTGGGTGCACGGGCAGGGTCTTCGTGTCCTCTGCTGCACCACTGGTCATCAGCAGGCCAAGAACTCCACCCCCTGATTATGATAAGTAAGGCCATCATTTATTAAGCATGGGTCCCCTGAAGAGTTATGAAACTGAAAGGGGCAGACACAAACATACATGTAAATTTTCTTTGCCTGTATTTAACATAAGTGCAATATATTCATAGGACTTTGAAATAAGTGATAATTTTTATTAGTCAGTGGATTCTTACCCATGCATTAAGAAGAACTTGAATATCTATGAGATGGTTTAGTATGATACCTATTAATCAGTGTGTCAACAGATATCCAGTAGAAGATGTTTAATAGCAGTACATGTTTGAGCAGGAAATAGTGGATGAGGTAAATGAATAAATATTGAATAAAATCACAGACTTAATTTACAAATAAATGAATGGCTATAAATGTTAGAGAGAGGATAGTTGTGAATCTTGTTTTTCTTAGGTTCCCTTATCTTTGTGGGTACTGGGAAGCTGAAGATGCCTTATCACAGAGGTAGGCTTCTGGGTAACACTTCCTGCAGGTTTGTATCTGTTGTAATCAAAACAGAATTACTATGGAGCTGAAAACAAGGCTTTTAAAGCTTAGGGGGGAAACAAAGTGTGTTCATGTATTCATGTCTTCATTCTACGAATCTGTGAGGAGAGTATAAATATGATAAAATGTTGAGGGCCACCGCAAACGGGGTCACCAATGACCATAGGAATGTGAGAACTTCAGTGGGGCCTGTGCTGGGTGCAGTGGCTGAATGTGGAGAGATGACAGCAAGGGAGTCGGGGCGACTTGCCCCAGGAGTTTGTTAAGTGGTTCAACCTGTCAGTCTTGTCTTTGACCTTCAAACCTCATGATACCTTGAAAATTAGTTCTAAATTATAACATGGGGTTAATCAAGTAGGTTGTGTGGGACTTCATTTTAAAGATGTGAAAACATGAGTGAGTGTGTGGATGTGTTCCAAGGAGTGACTTTCTGCAATAAGTTACTATTTATTTAAAAATGTTTAACAAAATTTTCTCAAGGCATGCAAGTAATTAGCATAGGCTAATTTTGAACTAAAGTAAGAGTCTACCCTTATTTTCACCTAAGTGTGCCCAAGAGATGATGTTAAAACCAAGGCTCCATATAAGTTGAGATAAACCATGCCTTCGCCTCACACAAGTACATGGCAGCATCTGCTGTCCACCTTCCTTCCTTGCCAGTTCCAGTCCCAGCACAGGTACTCAGAATGGACACCTAGTTGACTCCAGGTGTCTGGTCCTAGAATTAATGCCATTTACAACTGTAAGCTAACAATAAAATCCTAAGACCCAACTGATTGAATGGACCACCTCTTGGCCAAGGGGTCGCAAGAGTAATTTTGGAGAATGAATTTCTAGCCGTGATGGGATGAGAGGTCAGACATGCCTGGTTCTACCCTCTCCCTTAGCTAACCATAATTAGGCTTTCTCCCTAACACCGAATAGAAAGCAGCCCTTTCAAAAGACTCCACCACTGACATCAACCAACCAGCTGATGCTGACCCTCCCTTTTGAGGTTTCTGCAGAACAACCCACCAGCATTTCTTCCTGATGAGAGACCACTGGTCACTGAGTGGCTCTGACAAGTCTAGGTGGAGGCACAGTAAGGGTCTTCGTGCCTTCTGCTGCACCTTTTGACATCAGAGGGCCAAGAACTACACCCCGGATCATGCTAAGAAAGGCGGCCATTTGTTGAACGTGGGTCCTCTGAAGAGGCATGAAGGTCAACAGCACAAACCTGTGGCTTTCCTCATAAATATGAATGACTCTACCTGTAGCCTATTGAATATGCATATTTGACCTCCTGTCTCAGCATGAATTCCCATGCCCTTTGCTTCTCCCTCCAAATGCCTGTTTCTGGCCTCTGACTTGAGGCTATCTTCCTAGGCAGTCAGAATGGCCACCCCACAGCCTGTGGCACTTTATGAGAATAAGGCTCCCTTTTCCAAATTTAGGAACCTCATCATACTTCAGTTGACAGAACCAGCAAATCCCACTGAATGGGAAGCTTTGTGCTGAAATGGCAAGAACTCCTGAGAGTCACGTCTGTGCTTAGACAAAGGCACCACTATGGACTGAACGTGTGTGTCCTTGAAAATAAATCCTCACTCCCAAAGTGATAGTGTTAGGAGGCGATGAAGTCAGAGGGTCGAGCCCTGGTAAATGGGATTTGTGCCCTTGTAAAAGGGATCCAGAAACCTGCCTCGTCCCTTCCCCCATGTGAGGACACAGTCAGAATGTGCCATCCTTCAGCTAGGAAAGAACCCTCACCAGACACCAATCTGCTGGTGCTGTGCCGTGATCTTTCATGCTTCAGTCTCCAGGACTGTGAGAAATAAGGTGGATTTGTTCATAAGCTTCCTTGTCCATGATGCTTTGTTAAGGCAGCCTGCACTGAGACTGTGCTCGTGAGGTGCTTGGGCAATTCCTCCAGCCATCACCTCCTGCCTCCTACCACAGACACTCCAGCCTTCTCATGAGGACACGATCCTGCCTGGCTCACTGGGTGTCCAGCCTGTCGCAGTTTCCACAGAGCCCACGGTCCCAATACTGTGAGGTCTGGCCCTGTCCTCTGCAGGACACCTGCAGCTGGAGGCTGGCCTTGACATTGCTTAGCTCAAAGGCCCAAGTTTGCTTAGTCTTGGCCTGGACTTGCTTCTCTCTCTCTACCATGTGAGTTAATTTTGTTGTGCTCTTTTCCAGTGGACTCTGGAAGGACAGGCTTCCTCCCACTGTGCCTTAAACCCTGCAGCTAGTGGTGGCTACAGGTCCCCGTGGCCTGTGCTTCACGACGGGAAGGACATGGAGTCCCAGAGGAAGGGAAGAAGGGAGGCTCCACAATCCTGCCAAGAGTGGGTCCTTGGGGTAAAATAACGTGATGCTTATACACATACATGAGACACACAGAGACACACACACACACCACCATACCACACACACCACATCACCATACCACATAAATCACCCACATCACACACACACACACACCACTCACCACATACCGCACCACACACACACCACACTACACACATACCATACCACACAGACACTACACCATACCACACACACACCACAAACACACACATTACATACCACACTTACCTCACATCGCACTCACCAGAGACCACACACACCACACTGTACATGCTACACACAACACTACCATCCACACCACACCACACATACCACATACACCGCACACCACACCACAATCCACACCACAGCATGCACACACACACACCACAGACACCACACCACTATACCACATGCACCACCCACATTACACACACACATCACACACACTACTCACCACACACCACACCACACCATACACACACCATACCACACAGATCACACATACCATACCATACCACACCACACACACTCCACAAACACACTAAATACCACACATATCTCACATCACACTCACCACAGGGACCACACACACCACCCACATCACACCACACACCACACCACCATTCATACCACACACACACCACATCGTACATGCCATACACACACTACATACCACACATAATCTCACATCATACTCGCTACAGAGACCACACACCACACTCACCACACACCGCTCACCACACAACACAGCAACACCCCCACATGTATGCCACACACACACACACACAATACCACCCACTACACATATGCACTAACTTGAATACTGGAGAATTTTAGCCTTATGCTAAATTTTTCATCCAACTAACGTAAAATATGTATTCAGTAACCTGTATTTGCCACGCATTGAGCCGGGCTGGGAACGCACAGTGGTAACAGCAGAGCTGCTGTCTTTGGAAGCTCACAGGGCTCTGCACAGGACACACAGGCCAACTGCTGGTTACGGTGCATGATGAGAACGCTCAGCACACAGGGCAGCCAGAGCCATTTTCCCTCGGGCTCCTATTATCCCTCAGATATTGATTTCACAGAGGAAGTTCTTACCTTGTCCATGAATGAAAACTCTGACAGGCTCAAGAATTTTCTAATTATTGTCAGATAATTCAAAAGGTTAGAGTCATTTTAAGGAACGAAACACTGTCTTGATTCAGAAACTAGAAAGTACATTTCAATACACTAATCAACAAATGTGTCCTGTTCTTTCCATGGTGAGGCATCTCCAGGAGCCCGGGGATCAGCCAGGGCCCTCAGCAGGAGGAGGGGCAGCTCCTGCCTCCTCTCACCTCCTTCCCTGCTCCACTCCTCTGCCGCCTTTTCTGACTCTGTTGCAGGGAGGAGTAGCTGTGAGGAGAGAGAGGTTTTAACTAACTGGTGTTACTATAAAATGACTTCATACCCTTCTGTCTGGCCCACATTAAAATCTGCAGCTTGTGAACCCTCAATGGGTTCTTCAGAAGCCCCACGTACCTTGACATGGAAGAGCCCCTTTATTCTGGGGTCACTGATCCCTTCTGCAGTTCCTGCCAGCTCACTTCCTCCTTTGCTGAGGGCTATTCTATGGTCTGGGCAGTCCGCCCATAGGAAAGGACCTGAGGGGACTCCACACCAGATGGCTGGTACAGGGCTTACATGTGGTCCATTAGGAACACTCACTCATTCCTTGAAGAAACTCTTGACACAAGGGCTAATCTAGCCTGCCAGTTTCTCTCCCCATCTGAAGAATTAGCTGGCATGATTCAGGGACAGCTCACTGTGTCCCACAAGGTCTAGAGGGCACACTTCAATCTCTGCAGGTGGTCCTGTGAAAGCCCATCTCAGTTAGGTGCAAGGTGAGAATTAAGAACCTCCTACCGTTTCCCTTGGAGGTGAGATTCACAGGATCCCAGCAGCTCTTATTGAGGAATTTTCAACAACTCCTCTCCTCAACTTTTCCTATGCCCTTTGGGTGTTTTAGGGGGCATCCTATTTCACATGTCTGAAAGTACTATCAATGGTCTACTTCAAAATTCATTTTGGTGGTTTTAACTAACTGTTATTAGTGCCTCAATTTTTTTTATTTGGTGCCTCGGTAAAAATTGCTAATATAATATCCTGTTATAAATATAATGTGAGTGAATATACAAGATGTAATGGAAGGCCAGAGGAAGGGGTAGTGCTGGAGAGTTCATTTCCTGCCTCCAAAACTCTTTCCAGGTGCTAAAAAAAAAAAAAATCCTCAAGACATTTTTTTTCTAGATATTCAATGTAACAGGAATAAATTCACCCCACATTTCTAACACATGAAACTTTTGTTTTCAAGGAATGTTTGTCAACTGCACATTGTCAAGTCAAAAGTGAAGATGACCCTCATATTTTGGAATTTTGATAAAATATAGGAGTAGGCAAAGGAAAACTCAATTAGTTCAGTAAGATTTTAATATAAATTAGAGTTCATTATTTTTCAATTATCAGCAAATACATGGACAGTGTAAGTCAGGGAAACTAAATCTCTTTAGTTACAAAAGGAGACCCAAGCTATTTTAGTATAAAATAAATAAATAAGTAAATCTTTTAGTGGCCCAAGGCAAAAAGTTTTGTGTATCTTCTGTATAGGAAAGGAATAATTTATAACAGGAAGAAAGCCTGATTTTGGCACTCTACTACAGAATTACATCTGTTTGACATGCATTATGTTTTTGGACAGAATAGACAAAGTATAATATATGGCAATGTAACCAAACTTGTAAAGCAGAATAAATCATTCTCTTCTACTAGCAAAACTCAAAGAAGCCAGAATAGAATACCGCCAGATCTGCCTGCCACTTTTTTTAACCAATGCATTTGGGAGAACATGACTTTCATTGTAAGATGTATTTAATTTCTATTCTGTAATTTAGATCACATAATGTTATCCTCCATCATTGATTACTTAACAACATGCTGTCTCTACAACTAATTTTAGGCAAAAAGTAAACTAAAAAGCTATATTCTACAATCCAGGGGGTGGAGGGGATGAATCAAATACGTATATATTTAATTCTGAGGAATTAAAAAATATTTTGTCATTTAGAATATATTCAAATGTCTTTGCAATATGGCCAGGCTCTATATAACTGTAATAACAAAAAGTTGTAAATCCTGCCCTTTCTGATCTTCAATTCTTGTTGGTTTTAAGAGAAGTAATTATTCAGGCTAGGTTTGGTGGCACCCATCTGCAATCCCAGGTACTGGAGAGTCTGAGGCGGGAGGATTTCTTGAGCCCAGGAGCTGGAGGCTGCAGTGAGCTATGATTGCATCATTGCACTCCATCCTAGATGACAGTGAGACCTGTTTCTAAAAGAAAGAGAGAGAGAAATAATGTGCTTGCTACCTTGCTAAATGGTGTCTTGTCATCTTGGACAAGTGGATCCCTTTGGCTCATTCTGCTATTCTCTCTCCTTGCTGATCTCTCGTGGAGCACAGAACTCCGAGAAGATCGGATGGCTTCCCCTGACCAGAGCTCCTCTCAGAGTCAACTTGTCTTTAAACCACTTTTTCTGCCTGGGTTCTGCTCACACTTCCTTCTCTGCCCTTTGGCTGCAGGGTGATCCACTATCCCTTCTGGGTTTTGTTGTTGTTGTTGCAGTTTATCCTACCAAGACCTACACAAATAGTCTCTTTATTAAATGCGCCTCAGATTATCTCAATTTGAAGGTTGTATTTGTCTCTTGCTAGGAGTCTGTTTGAAACTATGGATTTCTAAAGCTCTGTGTATTTATGTAGATATACACGTACCCATACACCCTGTAATGGTTTAAACTGTGTTGTCTCCAAAAGATATGTCCTTGTCCCAACCCTGGGGACCTGTGAACATGGCATGATGCAGCCACAAGCCATGGAGTCCCTGAAGCCACTAGAAGCTGCAAGAGGCACGGAAGGACCCTCTCCTACAACATCTACAGGGAGCACAGCTTTGTTGAAGCCTTAACCTTTTGGCTTTTGGCTTTGAGAACTGTGAGAGAATACATTTCTGGTCTCTTAAGCCACCTAGTTTAATGCTCGTCTGTTTATATAAACCACAGGAAACAAATATATGTCTATATGTACATCAGCATCTATACATTTGTTTATACAAGCATAGATAATTTCTATAAATACATAGTAAAATCTTATAGTATAATTACTTCTGAGAGTGGCACAGGTGCACTTCATGTATTATTTCTGCAAAGGTACATGTGTGTTTAGAATGTATTTATGTTGATAATTTAGGAAAAGAAATTATTAGAAAAGGAATTAGAGCATAAAATTTCCTTTAAAGAGTATTTCAGTTGAACAATGATCACAGAACTCAAAAAACTGAGTCTTTTCATGGCAATAAGAATGACCCCTGGGCTGGGCATGGTGGTTTACGCTTATAATTCCACCATTTTGGGGAATCAAGGCAGGAGGGCTGCTTGAGGCCAGGAGTTTAAGACAAGCTTGAGCCACATAGCGAGACCTCATTTCTAAGAACATAATAATAAATTAGCCAGGCATGGTGACACACGCCTGTAGTCCCAAGTACTCAGGAGACTGAGGCTGGAGGATCACTTGAGCCCAGGAATTCAAGACTACAGTGAGCTGTGATCCCACCACTGCACTCCAACTGGGGTGACAGAATGAGACCCTGTCTCTAAAAAGGAAAAGAATGCCCCTTTTTTTAGTCCACAGTGAGTGGAGTACACACACACCTCATTTTATTGCACTATGTTTTATTGTGCTTTACAGATACCATATTTTTTTCATAAAATGAATATTTGTGGCAACCCTGCATCAAACAGTTATTGGCACCATTTTTCCAAGCACCACCTGTGCTTACATTTTATCTGTTTTACATTTTGGTAATTTTCAAAACATTGCCAATGTTTTCATTATTATGATATCTGATATGGTCATCTCTAATCAGTGATATTTGATGGAACTATTGTAATTATTGTGGGACTCCATGACAACACCCATAAAAGATGGCAAACTTAATCAATAAATGTGTGTGTTCTGACTGCTCCACTCACCAGCCTTTCTCCATCCCTCTCTCTCTCTCTTCTGTCCCACCTATTTCTTAAGACGCAACAATATTAACATTACACCAGTTAATAACTGAGCAATGGCCTCTATCTATTCAAGTGAAAGTAAGTATCTTACATCTCTCATTTTAAATTAAAAGGTAGAAAAGTTTGGTGAAGCTTAGTAAGGAAAACAGTCAAAAAACTGAGACGGCCCAAAAGCTAGGCCCTTTGTGTCATGCAGTTAGGCAAGTTGAGAATGCAAAGGGGAAGTTATTGAAGGAAACTAGATGTGCCGCTCCAGTAAACAAAAGATGAGAGGTAAAACAATCTTATTTCTGACTGGAGAAAGTTTTCATGGTCTGCATAGATCAAACTGCTACAACATTTGCTCAAGCCAAAGACCAGTCCAGAGCATGGCTCTAACTCTCCTCAATTCTCGCAGAGGTTGGTTCACGAGGTTGAGGAAAAGAGCCATCTTCATAAAATAAACGTGCAAGGTGACACAGCAAGTGCTGATATAGAAGCTGCAACAAATTATTCAGAAGATCTAGCTAAGATCATTGATGAAGGTGACTACGCTAAATGACAGATTTTCAACTTAGATAAAACAGCCTTCTGTTCAAAGAAAATGTCATCCAGAACTTTCATCGCTAGAGATAAGTCAATGTCTGTGTTCAAAGTGTCAAAGGACAGGGTGACTCTCTTGTTAGGGGCTAATGCAGCTGGTGACTTCAAGTTGAAGCCAAGGTCATTTACCACTTTAAAAATCCTAAAACCCTTTAGAATTATGCTAAATCAATTCTCCCTGTACTGTAAAAATGAACAACAAAGCTTGGATGACAGCACATCTGTTTACAGCATGGTTTACTGAATATTTTAAGCCCACTTTTGAAATATACAGCTCAGGAAAAAAAAAATTCCTTTCAAAATATCACTGTTCATTGATAATACATCTGGTCACCCAAGAGCTCTGATGGAAATATACAAGGAGATTAATGTTTCCACGTCCACTAATGCAACATTCATCCTGCAGACATGGATCAAGGAGTAACTTTTAACTTTACTATTGAAAAATACATTTTTTAAAGCTATACCTGCTGTAGATGGTGATTACCATTAAGAACATTGGTGATTCACGGGAAGAAGTCAAAATATCAACATTAAGAGAGTCTGGAAAAAGTTAATTTTAATCCTCACAGATGACTTTGAGGAGTTCAGGACTTTGGTGGAGGAATTAACTGCAGATGTATGGGAGATAGCAAAAACAAAACAAAACAAAACAAAGAAAACTAGAATTAGAAGGGAGCCTAAAGATGGGACTGAATTGCTGCAATTTCAAGACAAAACTTGAAGGGATGAGGAGTTACTTCTTATGAATGATCAAGGAAAGTGATTTCTTAACCAAACGCCACATGTTCTTAAAAGTGGGAGCTGAATGATGAAAATGCATGGACACATGATGGGGGAACAACACACAGTGGGGCCTGTTGGAAGGGGAGTTGGGGAGGGAGAGCATCAGGAAGAATAGCTAAGGGATGCTGGGCTTCATACCTAGGTGATGGGATGATCTGTGCAGCAAACCACTATGACACACATTTACCTATGGAACAAATCTGCACATGTACCCCTGAACTTAAAAGTTGAAGATTTCCTGTTCCCTCTGTTGTGTCTTGGAGTCTGGAATGATGAAGACCTTGTGCTCTTAGGCAGGTCCTTCCTCTTTATTATTTTAGAATTCTTCTGGACTCACCCCAACAATAGTTTCAACGTGTTCTGATGATTGGTTGTTAGTCAGAATGAAAATAAGGCCCTTTGATAACAACATGGAAGCTAGAATTGGTGACATAGATCTGGAAGATAACTTGTCATATAACATGTTTGCTCTCATTTAACTATGAGTTTATTTCCTGCCACTTCTTCTGGGACCAAGAAAATGATGTTCCAAAGAAATGACATTGCCACATTATTGGAGATCAGTTACAGACCAATGTTGGATACTACCAATGAATTTTCAGTGGTTTGCTTTGTGAAGAAACTCAAATTCCCATCTGTGATACATTTTGGAATGAGTGGGTTCGATGCCAGCACATTGAAAGATATCCCTCAAAAAACAAAAGGACAAGAGTCATCAGCTCCCACACGAAGTAAAAAATGTGAACCTAATTTTAGCAGTGTTAATAAAGAGCAACTATCCATGAGTCACTGCATCAACAATCCCTGTGTTAGAACATCCTCTCTTACCTAAGGCACAGGGGTAAGTGATACATACTTGTCTGAGACCAGTTTCATTAATACTGTTGTTGGTTGTATGTGTCCATAGATGAGTAGCAGTATCTGTTACCAGTTTCACTATCTTTTGGAGTTTTGGATAACGTAACTATGCTGTGATATTTACACTTTTTAATGAATTAATTTTAAGTAAAATTGCCATTCTAACTTTGTATGTGAAATAAAGTTCATACATAATAAAGCTTGCTTATAAAAAATAAAAATAAGATACAAGTTTTTTAAAAAAGAAAGTGGTTTCTTGAGATGGAATCTATGGAATCTACACCTGGTGAAGCTGCATCAACACTGTTGAAATGACAACAAAGAATTTAGAATAGTCCATAAACTTAGTTGATAAGCAGTTGTCAGGGTTTGAGAGGACTGACTCCAATTTTGAAAGAAATTCTACTGGGGGTAAAATGCTACCAAACAGCATGACATGCTACAGAGAAATATTTTGTGAAAAGAAGAGTCAATGAATGCAGCAAACTTCATTGTTTCATTTCAGAAACTGCCACAGCCACCCCAACCTTCAGTAACCACCACCCTGGCCAGTCAGCAGCCATCAACATTGAGGCAAGCCCCTCCACCAGCAAAAATATTAGATTAGAATGTATTATAGGCTCAGGTGATCATTAACAGTTTTTAGCAATAAAGTATTTATATTAAGGTATGTACTTTTTTTAGACATAATGTCATTGCACAAAGTACAACATAGCATAAGTATAAATTGTATATACACTCAGAAGCCAAAATATATCCAGCCATGTGACTCTTTTCATTGTAATATTTACTTTATTGAAGTAGTCTGGAACAGACCTGTAATAGCTTTGAGGGATGCTTGTAAGTGGGAATTGAACAGGAAATGTAAATTTTTTCTTTTCTTTCTCATATTTATTATTTTTAGGACCACTCTTCTCTGACCTTCACAAATATGGTTCAGGTCCTGAAGTAAAGAAGTCCTACAAAGTTACATTCTTAGAAACATCTGCATTTCAAGAAAACAAACCAACAAACAGAAAGCAGATATTTTTGTATCATGACATACCAAAGAAATTCATGTAAATTATTATCCATTAGCCATATTAAACACAATGATGTGGTTGTACTTCTCTATTATTCTTCCCAATTTTTATTCTAAATCAGTGCAAGCACCTGAATTGCTGAAGAGTCAGTATTCTTTGCTTTGTGGTTTTACATGTATTATGGGTCTTCACAAAAATTGTCTTGCTTAATTTTGCAGCAGACTATAATTTAGGGAGCATTAGAATGAAGTCCAACACCGATATAAAAAATGAACATCATTTTGTTCAGTAGGAAATAGCCTGGCATATTGTAGACCCTTCTGTTTACTTATATGTAATAGCCAATTCTAAGCAGAAAGTAAAATGTTGTATAGAAAGAATTGCTGCATAAATGTCTTCTTTTGAGAAGTGTCTGTTCATGTCCTTCGCCCACTTTTTGATGGGGTTGTTTGTTTTTTTCTTGTAAATTTGTTTGAGTTCATTGTAGATTCTGGATATTAGCCCTTTGTCAGATGAGTAGGTTGCGAAAATTTTCTCCCATTTTGTAGGTTGCCTGTTCACTCTGATGGTAGTTTCTTTTGCTGTGCAGAAGCTCTTTAGTTTAATTAGATCCCATTTGTCAATTTTGTCTTTTTTTGCCATTGCTTTTGGTGTTTTAGACATGAAGTCCTTGCCCATGCCTATGTCCTGAATGGTAATGCCTAGGTTTTCTTCTAGGGTTGTTTTGGTTTTAGGTCTAACATGTAAGTCTTTAATCCATCTTGAATTGATTTTTGTATAAGGTGTAAGGAAGGGATCCAGTTTCAGCTTTCTACATATGGCTAGCCAGTTTTCCCAGCACCATTTATTAAATAGGGAATCCTTTCCCCATTGCTTGTTTTTCTCAGGTTTGTCAAAGTTCAGATAGTTGTAGATATGTGGCATTATTTCTGAGGGCTCTGTTCTGTTCCATTGATCTATATCTCTGTTTTGGTACCAGTACCACCCTGTTTTGGTTACTGTAGCCTTTATTGTGGCATTATTCACAATAGCAAAGACTTGGAACCAACCCAAATGTCCAACAATGATAGACTGGATTAAGAAAATGTGGCACATATACACCATGGAATACCATGCAGCCATAAAAAATGATGAGTTCATGTCCTTTGTAGGGACATGGCTGAAATTGGAAATCATCATTCTCAGTAAACTATCGCAAGAACAAAAAACCAAACACCGCATATTCTCACTCATAGATGGGAATTGAATAATGAGAACACATGGACACAGGAAGGGGAACATCACACTCTGGGGACTGTTGTGGGGTGGGGGGAGGGGGGAGGGATAGCATTGGGAGATATACCTAATGCTAGATGACGAGTTAGTGGGTGCAGCGCACCAGCATGGCACATGTATACATATGTAACTAACCTACACATTGTGCACATGTACCCTAAAACTTAAAGTATAATAATAAAAGAAAAAAAAAAGAGAATTGCACAAGAGTGTTTTTCTGTCCACTTACCTGAAAATCGTGCTAACATCTGAAGACATTTAATCTACCCCATGCATCCTCTTTCTTCAAAACAATGTTTTTTACCTTTTTATTTTACATTATTTTAAATGGAAAGACTTTATTTCAGTCTATATTGGGAGAAAATTCACTTTGTGCTAATGGTGCAAGGAGGAGAATATTGGTGGTATAAGTTTAAATGCATTTGTTATTGGAGATGATTTTTTACAAGATTGTTAACACATTAGGAAAACATAGTTCTTATCCGTAAGCTGCCAAATGTGGGGCTGAAGGGAAAATCAATTTTCTGGGTGTGTTTTCCAACATTACATTAAACACTATCTTTTTAAAAAATTGGGTTGTGGCCGGGCACGGTGGCTCACGCCTGTAATCCCAGCACTTTGGGAGGCCGAGGCGGGTGGATCATGAGGTCAGGAGATTGAGACCATCCTGGCTAACATGGTGAAACCCTGTCTTTACTAAAAATACAAAAAAATTAGCCGGGCGTGGTGGCGGGCGCCTGTAGTGCCAGCTACTCGGGAGGCTGAGGCAGGAGAATGGCGTGAACCCAGGAGGCGGAGCTTGCAGTGAGCCGAGATCGCGCCACTACACTCCAGCCTGGGCGACAGAGAGAGACTCCGTCTCAAAAAAAAAAAAAAAAAAAAAAAAAAATTGGGTTGGTTTTCTTTTGATAGTTGTTTCATATTGTTTTAATTTTTCAGCTGGATTTACATTGTTTTAACTTATTCACTCATTCCTCTTTTTTTGTTATTTTGTTTGTTTGTTTGTTTGTTTGTTGTTTTGAGATGGAGTCTTACCCTGTCACCCAGGTTGGAGTGCAATGGCACGATCTCGGATCACTGCAACCTCCACCTCCCAGATTCAAGTGGTTCTCCTGCCTCAGCCTCCCGAGTAGCTGGGATTATAGGCGCGCCACCATGCCCAGCTAATTTTTTGTATCTTTAGTAGAGACAGGGTTTCACCATGTTGGTCGGGCTGGTCTCGAACTCCTGTGTGATCCGCTCGCCTCCGGAGGCCTCCCAAAGTGCTGGGATTACACGCGTGAGACATCGTGCCCAGCCCTCATTCATCTTTTTTTTTTAATTATCGCTGATGTGCAGTGTCTCTGTCAGATACTGAGGGGAACATAGTGAGAATGAGAAGACACAGGGCGTTGTCATCACCAAATGCATTTCTGAGTCTTTCTTGCCCCAGCACACAGGCCGAGGAGCTGTCATAGCACCGGCACCTCACGAGCCGTCATGAGGATCTTTAGCTATCAGCGAGAACTCTACCTGGTTTCAGGCCAAAGGATTTTAATGTTTCCAGCAAATTAAACATTACTTTTTTTTCTCCACATAAGATTGTAGATTCCTCAGCCAAAGTAAAACTCCAGGCAGTGATAGACAGGATCTGTTCCTACTATAGGCCTGCTTTTTAAAATAAACTTTTCATTTTGGCACAATTTTAGATTTGTAGAAAACTAATGGAAACAGAACAGCGTTCCCCTATGCTCTGTACCCAGTGTTTCCTAACTTCCGTGAATATGGGGCATGTGGCCCAATAAATAAGCCAATATTGGTCCATTGTTATTAGTTAAAATCCATGGTTTACTTGTATTTCTTGTTTGTTTGTTTGTTTTGTGTTTTACTTGCCTTTCTTTTTTCTGTTCCAGGTTCCCATGCAGGTCCCATCCAGGACACTGCCTTATATTTTGTTGTCATGTCCCCTTCGGCTCCTCAAGGCGATGGCAATTTATTGGGCATTCTTACTTTTGAAGACCCTGACAATTTTATGTGCTACTAACTGAGTATTTTGTAGGATGTTTCATAATTGAGATTTGTCTGATGTTTTTGTCATAGATTGGACTGTGGGTTTTGGGGAGGAAGCCCACAGAGGCGAGGGGCCATGCTCCTCACATCCCGGTCTGTCACTGTGGGTACTCGCCGTCTTCACCTGGTAGAGGAGGGAGGTCCTCTTTCTCCTCTGTAAACTCACTGTTTTGTTCCCCTTTCCACATAGTAGTCTTTGGAAAGAAGTCACTATGAGCGTCAACCTGGGCTTTAATCTCAGTTCTGGACTCTGTCAGCTGTCAAATATTTTAAACTCTCTGAGCCCATACTTTCCACCCGTAAAACAGGGATGAAATGCCTGCCTCGAAGAGTGGTTGTGATGATGAGAAATGACTTATTCTGAAGCGTTTCATAAACAGTAATTCTCCCTGTTGATCTTCTATGTAATAATGTGTGCTATGCAAATAAGTTCCTTTCTCATTTCCTACAAACAAGTTGTAACATCAAATATTTAAATGTTGTACTAAGTAATAGGTATTTCTTGATAGTTGCTTATTCTTCAATATAATGTTATGTATCTTTTTAAAGATGATTAATTAGGACCTGATTATGCTTTGGTTTTCACTTCACTAAATCCGTCATATTTTACACATGGATAACAACTCACCTGTTTTTCTTCCTAATTACTGCCCTCCTTAGATAAACTTATTAAGTGCCAATTATATTACAGGTGCTAAATATTGTCTTTATTCTTCACAACAAACTGTGTTATAAGGAGTTACTTTCATTTATTCATACTGAACTTAGATTCAGAGAGGAAAACACTTGCTCAAAGTTCTAGAAATAGCAAGAATGCAGGAGAAATAGCAAGAATGCTGGAGACCTGCATTTCAGAGTTGGATTTAATGCTTGAACTCATCCTTGTTGGATTTAATGCTTGAACTCATCCTTGTTGGATTTAATGCTTGAACTCATCCTTGTTGGATTTAATGCTTGAATTCATTTCACAGAGCATCACACCACATCAACAGCCTGTGGTCTGGCGTTAGTTCCAGTTATCACCTTTATACCTCCTTCATCCTCTGGGTCTGTGGTGTCTTTCCCTATGTGAGATGTGCAGTATTTTTTGAGAACACAGCCACTTTCCACCAGAGAAGGTTGATTTTTTTTTTTTTTTTTTTTTGAGACAGAGTTGCACTTTTGTTGCCCAGGCTGGAGTGCAATGACGCGATCTCGGTTCACCGCAACATCTGCCTCCCAAGTTCAAGTGATTCTCCTGCCTCAGCTTCCCGAGTAGCTGGGATTACAGGCATGTATCACCACGCCCCAACTAATTTTGTATTTTTATTGGAGACAGGGTTTCTTCATGTTGGTTAGGCTGGTCTCAAACTCCCGACCTCAGGTGATCCACCAGCCTCGGCCTCCCAAAGTGCTGGGATTACAGGTGTGAGCCACCGCACCCAGCCTGGTGATGATTTTTCTGCAGAGAAAAAAATTATTTTAGTTTTCTTTTGCTCACTTTGCCTGCCATGGAAAAATACTCCCTGAAGTCTCTCTTAAACTTTATATTTGAATCCCAAAATATTAATTGAGAATAAGCAAAAAAAAAAAAAAACAAACCTAGTTTAGTCTATTTTTCTTTCAGATCAGTAACAGCACAAAAAGAAACCCACAGAGGTTACAGAAACGTTCACTTAGATAACATTTAGGCTTATTATTGAATGTTGGTCTTTCAATGTACACTCTTACACTTACTATAAATTTTATATCAAGAGAAAATTAGTTTTACACATTAAAATAGTAGGTAATGAAAGATTTATGTAAGTAGGATCTGAAAAAGTAATATCAATACATTTTGACCAAAGTGTATTTAATTTATTTGGTAAACATAGAAATTAATTTGACCAAACATCTACTTCTATAAATAAGAGCAAGAAGTAGGAAACCTCATTGCTAAATTAAGTTGCTATCACATTGCACACAGCCATAATCACATTGGGATGTAGTGTGCTCTGTAGCAAATACATATCACAAATAAGTTTTGGTTGCATACTATATAGGACCATCTATTTAAGTGAACTTTCATTTTTTAATGGTTTACTCTGCTTTGAAAAGTATATTATAATAATTATGTTATTCTTTTCCATGACTATTGGTAATGGGAATATTGTAATACAGTATCTTGAAGAAAAGTATATCTCGTAAGCTGCCCGGAGATATACAAGAGAAAGTCACTGTATCAATTAATTAAATCATTCCATTAAGACTAAGACTGGCAAAGGTGAATTTTTAAAACTAGTTTACTGATTTACTTAGACCCACATTTGACACTGAGACAGGAGTTTGAAGCACCATTGTATCACACATTAGGGATTGCTACTATCTGTATTCACCAGATCAAAGATTCCCCTCTATTCTCCATCAAACATACTCAGAAATTGGGTGTCAGTGTGTCCCACAGGCAGATTGAGAAGGCCGAACCAGGGAGCTAGCAAGACCCTCACAGGAGCCAGAATATGTCCACGGAGATAGGTGAGGCCAGGGCAGGGTGGAAGAGCCCATTCTTAAAGCGAACCTGGGAGTCTGGAATTAGGGCATCAATTTATACCGAGAGCATATTCAGGAACAGAAGGTTGTAAGTCAGAGTCACGCTATCGAAATGGTATCCAGGCATACATAAAGAGCAAAAGCGAGGAAAGAAACAGGTCAAAGATTACTCAGAAAACCAGAAACCAGAGGGGTATAAATCCCAAAAGCCACAATGCAAGCATTTGATATGATATTCTCATTCCCACAGTGGCCTCATTCAGCATCATCTGTGTGATGCCAGTATCCATTCCTCTGTTGCCACCCTCACCCCCAGGCTTCTCGGAACCAAAATCTCTGGAGTCTAACTCCACAGAGACACCATTATTCCCTGGGCCTCATCAGAGCCTTCCACTCCTAAAATTACGAACTCAGCCCTTGCTCTCTGGCCTCCGCCTCCTGTCCTTGTCCTCTTCTTTGGAAGTTGCTACATCACTCTTCTCTAACCCATCAAGGCTATGACAATTCCAGTTTCTGTCTATAGGTGCCTTCCTGACTTCACATCTTGCTATTTCACTTAGATTTCAAAAGTTGAGTGCTTCATGGCCGGGCGCGGTGGGTCACACCTGTAATCACAGCACACTGGGAGACTGAAGTGGGTGGATCATCTGAGGTCAGGAGTTCGAGACCAGCCTGGCCAACATGGTGAAACCCCATCTCTACTACTACAACTAATAATAATAATAATTAGCTGGGTGTGGTGGCAGACTCTTGTAATCTCAGCTACTTGGGAAGCTAAGGCAGGAGAATCAAATCACTTGAACCCAGGAGGCAGGGGTTACAGGGAGCTGAGATCCCACCATTGCACTCCAGCCTGGGCGAAAAGAGTGACACTCCACCTCAAAAAACAAAACAAAACAAAACAAAAAAAAGCCTATTGCCTCAAACACTCTCTTGCTAATATTCTGAACTCCCTCGATTTATTTGTTTTCAGTCTTCCTTCTCTGGGCATTTCATATCAATGAAACTGTACAATAAATGGTCTGCTACTGGCTTCTTTCAACTAGTGTCATGTTGCTGGGATTCATTCATGATTTAGTATGTGTCAGCATTTCATTCATTCTTAATGCTGGAAAGTATTCCACGGTATGGATATACCATATTTTGTTTATCCCTTCACCAGTTGAGGCACTTTTGTGTGGTTTCCACTCTTTAGCTATTGTGAATAATGTTGCCTCGAATATTTGTGCAGAAGTCTTTTGTGGACACATATTTTCATTGAGTAGGTTTTTTAAGTACACTTGCTATGACATGTTTATGTTTAACTTAATAAACTGTTTCCAAAGAGGCTACACCATTTTACATTCCACCTGAAGAAATCTTTGAGGCTTCCGTTTCCGCCCTGCAGCAGCACTTGGGATTGTTTGTCTTTTTATTATAGCCATTCCAGTAGGTGTGCAATGGTACCTATTGTGGTTTAGTGTGTATTTCCCTAATGACTAATGATGTGGAACTTTTTTTATTATTTTTCTTTTAGTTTCTTAAGATGGAAGCATAGATTATTATCATTTTTAGAGATCTTTCTTCTTTCCTGATATATGCATTAAAGTTATACATTTTCTTCTAAGCATAATTTTACCTGTATATCATCCATTTGTATACGTTGTGCTGTTGCTTTCATTCAGGTCAAAAATGTCTTAAAATTTTCTTTGTTATGTATTTTTTGACTCATGGGTTATTTGGTATTGTAATGTTTAGTCTACACATATTTTGAGTTTTATAATTTTTCTTTTCAATTGTGGATCACTAAATTAAGTTCATTGTGATCAAAGTACCTATTTTATAGAATTTCAGTCTTTTTAAATAAATGTATCCTTTAAAAGAATGTATATTATGCTAATATTTTGTGAGATGTTCTGTAAATGTTAATTAGATCAAGTTGGTTGAAAGCATTGTCCAAGACTTCCATCTTTGCTGATTTGCCATCTAGTTGTTCTATCAGTTACTAAAAGTTTTCTGTTGACATCTTCAACTTTTATTATCATTGAATTGTCTTGTCTTTTCCATTCCTACTATGATTTTCTTTATGTGTTTTGGTACTCTGTTGTTAAGTGTATATATGTTTTTGTTATATCTTTTTGATATATTGACCATGTGATTATCACAAGTTACCTCTGTTGTTCTATATTAATATTTATTATATAAATTTTATTTTGTCTGATATTAATATGGCCACTCCAGCTTTATTATGGCTATTATTTTCATGGTATATCTTTTTTCTACAATTTTTTCTTAAACCTATTTGCATCACTAAATCCAAAATGTGTCTCTTGTATACATTTCTCTTTATTCAATCTGATAATCTCTGCCTTTTTCATGGGGTATTTAGCCCATTTAAAGTTTTAATATTATTATTTGTATGGTAGAATTTGTATTAGATACTTTTCTATTTTTTTATTTGCCTTGTGTCTTCATGTTTCCCTGTTTTTCTTTTACTGCCTTATGTTTGTGTTAAATAAACATTTTTAGTGTGCCTTTTTAATTCCTCTATTCATTGGCTATAGGTTATTTTCCTAGTGGTTGTCCTAGGGATAAAAATATGCAACTAATCATAGTACAATATACTTTGGCATTATGTGCACTTAGCTCTGATAAAATATAGCAACTTTTTTCCAGTACTTTTCCCTCCTCCTGTTCTGGGCTATAATTGCTATATATATAATCTTCATATCTATTTATGTTAGATGCCCAGCAATACAGTGTTTTAATTATTACCTTATGCAATCTTAAGTCATGTGAAAATTAAAAACAGAAATGAGAAAAACAGCTGATATGTATAACTGGTATATAGATACATAAATACATATAATATTTTTAATAAAGACTCAGGTATACATATCCACACACATACATATGTCTGTGTGTGTGTGTGTGTGTGCACGTGTGAGAGAGAGAGAGAGAGGAGGGGAGAATTTTATATTAGCCCACATACTTACAAAGTGAAATTTTATATTAACTCACATACTTTCTTATTACCTTTGTTTATTTCTGTGTACACAGTGCATAGTAGTTTGGTGTCATTTTGTTTTAACCTGAATAACTTTCTTTAATATTGTTTGAAAGCATAGCAGCATTAATATATCTCAGATTTTGTTAATCTAGGAATATCTTTATGTCACCTTCATTTTGAAGAATAGCTTTGTTGGATATTGATTTTTTTTTTTTTTTTTGAGACAGGGTCTTGTTTTGTCACCAGGCTAGAGTGCAGTGGTGAGATCATGACTCACTGCAGCCTCAGTCTACTGGGCTCAAGTGATCCTCCCACCTCAGCCTCTCTTGTAGTTAGGACAACAGGCACGCATTACATGCTTGGCTAATTTTTAAAAAATATTTAGCAGAGACAGGATCTCACTTTGTTGCCCAGGCTGGTCTTGAACTCCTGGGCTTAAGCAATCCTCCTGCCTTGGCCTCGTAAAGTGCTAGGATTACAGGCATGAGCCACTGCTCCTGGCCTGGATATTGAATTTTTGAACCATCACGTTGTGTCGTTCTCTTACTTTCTGACCTACCTCGTTTCTGATGAGGTCAGCTATTAGTCATATTGTTGTTCCTCTATACATGATAACTAATATTTCTCTTGTTGCTTTCAACATTTTCTCTACATCGTTAACTATCCAAATCTTGACCAAGATATATTTAGTTGTGATTCTCTTTGAATTTTTTCCTGCTTGAGTTTTGTTGGGTTTGTTGGATCTGTAGATTAGTATTTTTACCAGACTGGGGACTTTTTGCCATTATTGGCTCAAATATTACTCTTCCGCTCTCTTTTCTCCTTCTGGCACTATCATTGCTCATGTATCCCACAACTCTATGCTGCTCTGTTTATTTTTCTTCCCCATTTTTTCTCTCTGTCCATGAGATTGGATAATTTCTATGAATGCATCCTCAAGTTTACTGATTCTTTTTTCTATCACTTCAAATACATTTCTGAGTCCATCTAGTGCATTTTTCCCATTTCAATTACTATAGTTTTAAATTTTAGAATTTCCATATTTTTGTGTTTTATATTTGCTTTATTGTCCCTGAGTCATTGTCATACTTTTGTATAAGCCTTTTGGCATGGCTTCTATTAGTTTTTTTAGGCAACTGTAATTGCTGCTATGAAGACTTTGCCTACTAAAGTCAATATCTGGGCACATTCAGCAATGCTTTCTATTGGCTAACTTTTTCTCCAGACTATTTCTTTCTTATTTCTTTGAATATCTTGATTTTTAAAAATTACTGAATATTTTAACCCAGCAGTCCTCAACTTTTTTGGCACCAGGGACCAGTTTTGTGGAAGACAGTTTTTCCACGGACTAGGAGGTGGAAAGGGGTATTGGATGATTTCAGGATGAAACCGTTCCACCTCATTAAGGAGCTTGTAACGTAGATCCCTCGCGTGGGCAGTTCGCCTCTAGTGTTCGTGCTCCTAAGAGAAACAAATGCTGCCGCTGGTCTGAAAGGAGAGGGAGCTCAGGCGGTCCTGCTCACAGGCCTGCTGCTCACCTCCTGCTGTGTGGCCCGGGTCCTAATAGGCCATGGACCTGCATCGGTCCACGGCCAGGGAGTTGGGGACCCTGGTTTTAAAGAACATGCTTTATTCACTTTTGTGTGTGTGTTAACTTTAGCCTGCTGTGGGTTTTTGTTGTTGTTATTGTTGCAATTTGTAACTTGCCTGGACTCAACCTTCAAAAGCTATCTCCCACACGTTGTAGGCAGCTTTGCGTTTGTCATTTTTTTCTTTTTAAGTTTGGTTTAATGTTGGGGCTACACCTATGTCTGCATAGCTTAGTGTTCAGCTAAAGATTGGCCAGAAGTTGTATTCAAAAACCTCAACTCAAGTCAGTGTGGTTTACACTGTCGGCTGATATATAGGTGTGTGAACCAGGGAGTACATTGAAACTAGACTTAGTTTCCAGATCTGCCTCAGTTTTATTTTCTGCTGGTCTCTGCCATGTGCCCTCTGTGCATGGGCACAGGCTCTGTTAGCCAGAAGGTGTGGTGGCCTGGGCCTCTGTGGTCATGCTGGAATGGAGAGCTTATTAATCCATGTATGGCCATCTCATTTCCCAAAGCTCCCTGCTAACTTACCAGCTAGTGGGGCAGTCTGTTGCTTGACACAAGACCTGAACGTCAAGCTACCAGAGCTGCTGCCTCCCTTACCCCACCCCCAGCCGGCTTGCACCTAGCTCACCACTTTAACTCATGGGGCTCTCCTTGGAGAGAGCTCATGCTGGCAGCACCAGGGAAGCTGCAGGTTTTCAGGGCCTGCACCTCTCCTCTGCTCCCAGTTGAATCCCCACACTGGCCAAGCTTAGGGAGGAGCGATGGGAGTAGCCCCAGGCAGCAAAACCCCAGGTTCACACTGTCCTTACTCAACTTACAGTAGTTCTTATGAATAAATGATTTGTTTCTGTTGTGTACCATTGGTGCATTACCAGAGGACCGAAATAGTTTTTTGTCAGTTTCAGTAGTTTGCTTTGTGAGAGTAGGATTTGTCAACCTCTTCAATCTGTAATGCCAAAAGTTAGGAGTTCTCACACATCGTTTTTTTGGATTCTGTATCTACTGCAAACTCTATGTTTCTGTCTTTCCTTTCTCTTCACACCCAGACTTCTTAATTATTATCTCTACTTCATGTTTCCATTTTCGTATTTCCCATTCACTTTTTGGATTTTAAAATCTGACTTCCAGGTTAATCATGACATACAAGCATATCCTGTGAATATCCCTGGTGACAGTCCTATTGATACATTCAGTAGAACATTTTGATACATAGTTTTTCTTGTATCACCTCCCACTTTTGAATAGGGCCCCATCCTAGAAACACTCTGTTGTCTTGGTTTCTAGTCCACCACACACCTGGTTTTGCTCCGATTCCTAAAGCTGCCTGTTTCAGACTCTGGTATGGGCTGAGGAGTCCTCACCTGCTAGTCCTCCCCCGACTGTGCTCCAGCCACGTCATTCTGGTTGCATTACCCCTGCCTCCTCCTGTGGATCTCCAAAGACTGTTTTTACCTCTGATCTAGATCCTTTACCTGAGCTTCAGAATTTATCTTCAGTTGCTTTCTGGACTCTCCATTTGATTCCTCATCCCACAGACATGCAAAATTCTTAATGTCCAAAACTGAACCTATGATTTTCCATAACAAGTCCATATCTCCTGTCATACCCCCATTTTAATGAATAACACTTCCATCAACCAAGTTCTGCTCTGGGTCCATGGATGCCATTCTTCACTTCACTACATTGAAGTACACTTAAAATTTAATGACCATGAATCATTTCATTTCCCTACTCCCCAGCCACTTCCTCCAGTCCCCATTGCCACATCCCTGGGTGGACCACAGTCAGTGCTAGCATGGAAAATCTGCAGAACCCCTACCTGGTCCCTTCACTACTTTCTTCTTTCCTTCCCACCTACCTAGCTCTATCCTACTTGTCTTTTACCCTAAGTTAGACGTTTCTAACTTCAGGGTTTCCTCAACCCCTAAGTCCATGTTACGGGCCTGATAAGACTTTCTAATATTGTTCTGTAACCTCCTTTTTAGTTGTCCTGTTCTAATCCTAAATTCCAAGACACAGCAGAGTTCACGAGTATCATAACTTACAAGCTCATTCTCAGCATCTAATTAAGGGACTGATGTGTAGTTCCTTGGATATGAATGTATAAACCAAATACGCCCATTTATACATAAGTTGGTTGGGTCTCTGAGAGATTTTTTTTTTTTTTTTGAGGCGGAGTCTCACTCTGTCACCCAGGCTGGAGTGCAATGGTGTGATCTGGGCTCACTGCAACCTCCACCTCCCAGGTTCAAGAGATTCCCTGCCTCAGCCTCTGGAGTAGCTGGGATTACAGGCACCCACAACCAGGACCAGCTAATTTTTGTATTTTTAGTAGAAACAGGGTTTCACCATGTTGGTTAGGCTGGTCTCGAAATCCTGACCTCAGGTAATCCACCCGCCTCTGCCTCCCAAAGTGCTAGGATTACAGGCATGAGCCACCACACCTGGCCAAGACTCTGGGAGATTTTTAAAAGTCAAAAAGGCATATAGCCACTAACTAATAGAACCTTTGTTAAATCTATATTTCTTATAATTCTGGGGTTAGAGGTTAAGAAGAGATGAACACACATACATCAACTCCTTCTTACTTAGCTCCCATTAGCCTTCTCCACAGTACAGAAAAAATAAACGTCAAATTTGGTCTTGAATGGCAATTAAAAACAAACATTTTGCAATGCTGGGCAAATAGTGATTTCTAAAGGAAAAATAAATGTGGTTTTTGAGACTGGCAATACTGTGAAAGCAAATTAAGCTAGGTAAATACTTTTCTATTAGAGTTGCCAAATTCTTATGTATATGCAGGCACATATGCATATTATATGTAATATATATGCATATGTGTAAATTATATGCATTTATATCCTCAAGTAATTTATATTCTGCTTAATCCCAAAATAAAAGTGCTATTACGTGTTAAAAAATCTACATTGAAAACATTATAAATTATTTTTAAAGCCTACATTAAAACATACATGTATATTTAATACTTCTCCTTGCACAGTCTAAATAAGAAAGCTTTATTTTTCACCCAAATTAACTTTAGATGCTAAACTCTAAAACTGTAATTAAAATAAAAAACTTGAAATATTATTTTTTGGTGTATTCTCATACATGAAGAACTGATCATAAAAGTAGGCATGTAAATCTCAGTTGTTGCCAAATGGTCTGAAGGTAATGATGTGTGTACGTGTATGAGAGAGAGAAATTTTCCAGTAATCAAGAATTGAAAAACTCAAGATTTGTAAATGAACTTCCCAATTATAACTGGTACTCAGAAGGTAACAAGCAGGACAAGATACTGAGTATGTAGGTCTGGTACAACATGCTCCGAAATGCAGAGGATTTTAATCAGGCCTGGGATATATTTTCTATTAAAAGTATGCCTTCAGTAAAGCTTACTTATTCAGTGTTTCTTCCTTTACTTACTGATATTTAGTACATAGGATTAGATATAATTTCCTTTTGACACATATCTCTGCCCTAGAACTAGACTATTTTGCATTTGTCCTGTTCTTTAGAAAATCTAATTGCTTAAGAAGATCACAATGGAAAAAAAAAAACAGGTATATAAAACTAGTCATTTGGAAATACATGTAATAGAGAGAAAAAGTTTTTTAAAGAAGAGAATACATGTCTTGCTGATCACATTTATAATAGCAAATGTACACATTCAAATTCCCTCGCATTTTAAAAGTTTAAAGTCTATTATTTCAACAATTTGAAAGATGCACTAACTCTTTATTTGTAGGTGTTGAAAGAATAAGTGCACTGAAATAAAAGAAAGCAGATCATGCATTTACACTGATACTAAACCTAATTCTTATAAATATAAAACCATTAGTAACTTGCTCATTTCTTCATCTATTTTTGAATATACTAAATGATTTCTGTATACTAATTGTATAATGCTGCAATATATTAATGTTTCATATACTATTTTATTTGCCAACAGAATACTTGAAGTGCAGAGAACCATCTCTGGGCTTGGCATTCTGGGGCTGTAGCCTCCACTGTGGTATGAATGAGTGTTTGTCCACATCATACCCAGTCTATGGAAGATGACCCTTCTTATTCTTTGATTGTCGTAGGATCATTTTCACCTTAAGTCTCCAGCACAAATGCACTTATTGTTAAGAGCTACTTACATATATTAGTTGACTCTTTAGTAATCAGCTAATATGTCAAGTGCAAGAAAGAAGCATCTTTGTGAAGGTACTGGAGAGACAGAGGCAGTGAAGAAGCAAAGTAGGCAAAGCATCTGAACGGTACTAGGGTGTGCTCAGCAAGAGCCTGCCTGGTCTACAGGGGAGTGAGTATCTCCATCATAATTATTAATTAAACTTTGCATGCAGATTCTTCTTCTTAGCAATATTTTAGAACTTTGTCTTGGACTGAATTTTAGTCTGCTCATATGTAAAGCAAAACTCCACTAGACTGGGCAAGGACTAACTGCTGAGCTGGGGTGGGGAGCTATGTTATGGTTTTTAAGAGCCAGACCCAGAGACGGTGTCAAAAACCCAAAGTCATTCAGTAGATCCCAGGAGATCCATGTCTTGGGAATAAGACTAAACTGGCCCTCAAAAAGAGGGTACCTTCCCTAACAGACCTAAAATACAAGATTCAAAGGATTAAACTGATCCGCAAGTAACTTGAAAACAAACGTCAAAACCCTTTAAAAGAAGAGAATACAATTGAAACATAAAACCATGCAATATTCAAAATCTCAAGAAGACAAAAATAATTCAAAAGCTTTGGGGAAAAAAGTGAAAACTGACCCATAAACTGAAGAGAAATCCAAGTGTATAACTAAAAGAAAAATCCAAATGCAGAAATAAAACCAAATGCTTAAATAAAAGAAATGATGAAATTAGCAGTCAATTACTTTAAAATAGATGCTGTAAGTGACTTCATGGTTCTTTTTTAATAAACGTAATGAGGGAAAAAGAAAGATAATAGAAATTAATGGTACCTATAGGGCTGAAAAATGTAATAATTAGAGATGCAAAATACACCAAATTAAATAAACTGCAAAATAGACATTGCAGAAGAAAGAAACTGGGGACTTGAAAACATAAACGTAGCAATGGAAATTAGCTAACCTGAAGAAAAAGGATAAAAAAAGACTGAGATTAAAAAAAAAAAGAACAAAACCTCAGTGACCAGTGGAATAATATCAAGATGTCTAAAATGCATTTAATTGGCATGAAAAATGAAGAAAAGCAAGAGAGGAAGGGCTAAAAAGGTTGAAACAAACAATGGCCACCAGTTTTCCAAATTTCATGAAAATTCTAAACATACAGATCTGAGAAGTACAACAAACTCCAGCAAGATATAAACAATTAAAACCTTAAGAAGGTATATCATGATCAGATTGTTAATAAACACTCATAAAGAGACAATACTTAAAATGCATATGCAGTATAAAAAGAAAAGCATGATATAGATTTTCTGTAAGGAGAGAAGTATAAGGATGACATATTTATCATTAGGAGCAAGGAAAGGCATACGAAATTTAAACACCAACTTTTAAAGTGTTAAAACAAGGACTGCCAACTTAGAATTCTTTATCAAGTGATATCTTTCAAATATTAAAGGTAAAATATATTTTCTTCAGGGCTGCCAAAGTTGAGGTAATCTTTTACCAGCAAATTTACACTTCAGAAAATATTAAAGAAAGATTTTTTAGGCTAAAAAAAATAGACACTTGGGGGAATTGCAGATCAACATTACAAGAATGAAAGCCACATAAACAAGAAAATGTGGGTATAAATATGAAAGCAAAAATTTAAAAAATATATAAAAACTTCTTTAGTTTTTAATTAAAAATAACCTCCAAACACAAAAACTAACCACTTGAATTTTTGAGTTGATAACCTATATACAATTAAAACATTTGAAAACGACAGCACAGATTTTGAGAGGAGGGTAATGGAAATTATTGTTAAAAGCTTCTTGACTTTTACATGAAGTGGTATAATAAAATTTTAAAGTAGATTATAATAAGTTCATTGTATATTTGTAAATTTTAAATCAATGACTAAACACACACACACACACACACACACACACACACGCAAACACAAAGAGTTTTATCTATTAACCAACCAATCAAGTAAAATGGAAAGCAAACAACCAAACACCCTGAGTAAAGTTTATTTAAAATAATGCTTAAGAATAAGAGAAAAGAAACAATGAACAAAGGGGATACATAGATAATACATATAATTTAAGCCTGGGACTTAAATCCAAATATATCAAATTATATTAATTATAAATATCTAAACATTCTAAATCTAAGGCAGAGATTGTCAGACTGGATAAAAAAGAATGACTCAACTATGTGAACTCTACAAGAAAAACTCTCTTTAAATATAAATATTTAGGTAAGTTGAAAGTTAAATGATTAAATTTTAAAAAATGGACCTTACAGAAAGATGATTTTACCAAGATTAAACAAATAAATTTCAGAAGAAGAACTATCTCCAAGGATAACAATGGGTAATTCATAATGTAAAGTGATCAACAAATAAGAAACTCACTGAAATTCAAAATGTATGCAACTAATAACAGAGATACAAAATGCATAAAACAAAATCTCATAGAATTAAAAAAGCAAAGAGAAAAAATTCACAATTATAGTTAAAGATTCAATACACTTTTATCAGTAATTTATAAAAGAAGAAAATCATTAAGGATACAAATACAAAACACTATGACTAACAAACACTGTCAACCAGCTTGACTTAATATTTGCAGCACACTAAAAGCCAAAAAGAAAGAATACCTTTTTTATGATATACATGGAAGACTCACTAAGACTGACTTTATACTAGGTCTGAAAATATTTCTTTCTAAACATAGAAAACATAGAATCATAAAGAGTGTAAATACGCTGATGATAATAGAAAATATATTAAAAATCAATAACAAGCACATCTGGAAAAAAATCCCCAAATATTTAAAAATTAAGTATATACTTCTAAGCTATCCATGGAACAAAAAGATATATTTTAAAAATTAGAAAATATTTTGAATTAAATTATGTTAAAAATAATACGTAATATTTTGGGGATGCAGCAAATTCAGTTCCTAAAAGAAAAATATAAATAACTTCCAATAGAAGAGGCTCAAATCAGTGGTATAACGTTCCACTTTAAGAAGTTAGAAGAGTATATTTATTACAAATTAAGTTAAAGAAAGAAAATAATAGTGATAAGGCAGAAATCAATGAAATGGCAAAGGGATAACAAATTGAAAAATACATAAAATCAATAGTTGTCTCATGGAAATATTAATAAAATTATAAAACTCCAGCTATGTTAGCCAAAAAAGGAGAGAAAATACAAATTATTAATAGCAGAAGTGACAGAGGGGTTATCACTATGTAAGCATAAAAACATAAAAAGGATATGAAATAAAAGTTATAAACATTATGCCAAGTTTCTTGAAAGCTGTATATTAACAAAACTAACAGAAGACATACAAAATTACAGTGTTTGTATATCTATTAAATAAATTGAATTTGTAATTAAAGCCTCCCCATCAAGAAAACTTTAGGCCCAAATGTTTCTACTGATGAGTTCTGTCAAAAATTTAAGGGAGAAATTATACCAAACCTACACAATTCTCTTTCAGAAAACAGAAGTATGACTACTTTACAACTTACTTAGTGATGCCATTATTGCACTAATATTATAAGATATATTACAAGAAAATGAAAGAAACTTCAGATCAATATTCCTCATAAACATACTTGCAAAAATCCATAACAAAATATTAACAAATTAAACACAACAATATATAACAATTATAATACACTATGACCAAGTAGATTTTTTTCTCAGCAATGCAAAGTTGATTTAACATTATACTAACGTCTCTACAGGCAGAAAAATCACTTGACAAAAATTTCACACTTAGCACAAAGTATTGGGTTGTCAATTCAGACTCATATTGATCAGAAATCTAATCCAGTATCAAGCTTAATTAATAACTTGAAGAATATGAACAATCAAAGCAGGAGTAATACCGAAACATGGAGTATAGTTTCACAGATCCTATTTTTTCTTTTCTGATATGTGATGTCAGGACTGAGTTGATGGAGTCTCTCTGGAGCATTTTATTTTTACTTAGGGGGCAAATATTTCTTAGGTAAAATATGGAAAACATGAATCAAGAAAGAAAAAAATAGATAAATTGGACTTTATCAAAACTGTTTAAATTCTTATTATTCAAAGATTATTTCCTCACTGGATAGAGACAGTTTTTCTTAGGAAACTTTTTTTTTGTACATTTCTATTTTGTACCTCAGAGTTCTGCATAGGTTACAGAACATCCTTCAGGGACAGGTGCCTCATAACAATGCCATTGATTTTTGGGTGTGTCTATCATAAGCAGATCTAAGCCAGCGTCATTCTGTGAAGAGCGTTCCACAGACTCTCCTCTAAGCTGATATCATTAATCTATTTATGCGAAGGTCCAGTTATTGCAGGGCGAATATTGGGTTGAGTCTCCTGTCTTCTGTGATTTCTTCAAGTTGGTCCTACAAGGAATCAGGGAAAAAATAGATCACAGCACAGCTGATGTTTACCTTTGCTCTCTCTAAACCATCATCCATGATAAAAACTCTCAAGAAACCCTGAGTATAAGAAAATGTCTTCAGGCTGTGGAGGGATATCCATGAAAAACTTTCAGATGCCAACATACGTGATGATGAAAGGCTGAATCCTTTACTCTTAAGGTCAGGAACAAAGCTAGCCTGGTCTTTCTCACCACTCCTGGTTGACATGTCACTGGAGGTCCTCACCAGAGAAATTGGTCAAGTGAAAGAAATAAAGGGCACATTGATTGGAGAGAAAAAGTAAAACTTTCTATTTCACAGTCAGTACGATGATTACTTTTTTTTTTCAACTCTTAGCTAATCCCTACAAAAAACTCCTGGAACTAATAAATGATTTTAACAAGGTTTCAGAATATTAATATCAATATAAAAGATCAAGTGTATTTTTACGTACTAACAGTAAACAGAACTTGAAATAAAATATAATACTTGGCATAGTGTCAGAAAAAATATACATTCAGAGGATATTTACAAAAATTCATACAAAAGCTTTAAAGGAAAATTGGAAATTATTGCTACAATTTTAAGATGACCAAAAAATTAACTTTGGCCCTTTCCTCACACATAAAAGTAAAGCATAGTGGGTCTTAAACCTAAATGTGAAAGCGAAAATCTTTATAACTTCTAGAAGCAAACAGAAGAAGAGCTTTTTATTTTTACTTAGAGGGAACAAATATTTCACAGGTAAAATATGAAAAACATTAATCAAGAAAGAAAAAATAGATTGGCCTTTATCAGAAATGTCTGAATACTTGAAATTCAAAAAAATCATGTAAAAATAAAAATGCAAGCCACAGAAT